>NC_000002.12:24479452-24630967 GCF_000001405.40 Homo sapiens
CAGGATCTTGGCTCACTACAGCCTCCACCTTCCAGGTTCAAGTGATCCTCCTGAGTAGCTGGGATTACAGGCACCCACCATCATGCCTGGTTAATCTTTGTACTTTTAGTAGAGATGAAGTTTCACCATGTTGGCCAGACTGGTCTTGAACTCCTGTCCTCTGACCTTAGATGATCCACCCACTTCAGCCTCCCAAAGTGCTGGGATTACAGGTGTGAGCCACCGTGCCTGGCCTCTCAACTTCAATCTTTTCTAATAAATGATCTTCTCCCTCTGCCCACCACCATGTTTATGTCTCCCTTTTCCTGAAATGATAATCTTCTTTACTTTTTTTTCTAACTTTCATTTTACGTTCAGGGTACATGTCCAGGTTTGTTTGTTTTTTTTTTTAATTTTTAAATTAAATTAAATTTAATTTATTTTTTTAAGACGGAGTCTCGCTCTGTCGTCCAGGCTGGAGTGCAGTGGTGCGATCTCGGCTCACTGCAAGCTCCGCCTCCTGGGTTCACGCCATTCTCCTGCCTCAGCCTCCCGAGTAGCTGGGGCTACAGGCGCCTGCCACCACACCCGGCTAATTTTTCTGTAGTTTTAGTAGAGACGGGGTTTCACTGTGTTAGCCAGGATGGTCTCGATCTCCTGACCTCGTGATCCACCTGCCTCGGCCTTCCAAAGCGCTGGGGTTACAGGCGTGAGCCACCGCCCCAGGTTTGTTTTATAGGTAAACTTGTGTCATGGGGGTTTATTGTACAGACTATTTTGTCATCTAGGTACTAAGCCTAGCAACCAATAGTTCCTTTTTCTCATCCTCTCCCTCCTCTCACCCTCGGCCCCAGTGTGTGTTGTTCCCCTCTTTGTGTCCACATATTCTCATCACTTAGCTCCTGCCTGTGAGTGAGAACATGCGGCATTTGGTCTCTCGTTCCTGCATTACTGTGCTATGGATAATGGCCTTCAGCTCCATCCATGTTCCTGCAAAGGACATGATCTCATTCCTTTTTCATGGCTGCATAGTATTCCACAGCATATCCATACCACATTTTCTTCATCCATTCTGCCATTAATGGGCATTTAGGTTGATTCCATGTCCTTGCTATTGTGAATAGTGCTGCAGTGAACATATATGTCCATGTGTCTTTATGGTAGAAGGATTTATATTCCTTTGGGTATACACCCAGTAATGGGATTGCCGGGTTGAATGGTAGTTCTATTTTTAGCTGTTTGAGGAATCACCACACTGTTTTCCACAATGGTTTCACTAATTTACACTCCCAACAGGGTATAAGCATTCCCTTTTCTCTGCAACCTGTCCAGCATCTGTTGTTTTTGACTTTTTAATAATGGCTGTTGTAACTAGTGTGAGATGGTATCTCGTTGTGGTTCTGATTTGCATTTCTGTAATAAGAATCCTCTTCATTTAAGTTTTTTTTTTTTTTTTTTTTTTTTTTTGAGAAGGAGTCTTGCTCTGTCGCCCAGGCTAGAGTGCAATGGCACAATCTCGGCTCACTGCAACCTCTGCCTCCTGGGTCCAAGCAATTCTCCTGCCTCAGCCTCCCAAGTAGCTGGGATTACGGGAGTCTGCCACCACACCTGGCTAATTTTTGTAGTTTTAGTAGAAACGGGGTTTTGCCATGTTGGTCAGGCTGGTGTCGAACTCCTGGCCTCAGGTAATCCACCCACCTCAGCCTCCCAAAGTGTTGGGATTACAGGCGTGAGCCACGGCGCCCAGCCCATTTAAGTTATTGATTACCATCCTCTCTCCCCACCAACAGACCTCACAAGGGAGTCAGGCTTGACCCCTCACTGACCACTTACTTCTTGACCACTAGTAATCCTGCTCCTACTCCTACATCTCCAGGTGGCCAGGTGATTTTAGTGCTCTGTGCATTACCTGCATTTGGTTAACTGAGGGTTCTTCTTCATTTCTATGCTAACAGGGAGCAGCAGGCAAGCAAAACCCTTTAAGTCTGTGAAACTCTGTCTCTGAAAACCTTTCCCTAGACTCACTCCAGCAAAAATGCCTCTTGTAGGAAGCAACTAAGCATTTGACCTTGGATAAGTCACTTAAGTTCTCTGGGCCTCAATTGTTTGATCTGTAACATGAGTACATTGTACCAAGAATTCTTTCCTGCCTTAGGAGTTTGTGGAGGTAGGAAACTCAGTCCAATTAGATGAGGAAAGCACCAAGAGAGTGTTGCCAGTGTCTCCTGACCCTAGGAACAATAGGAATGCAAGGAGATGGCAGTCTCTGATGGCTTGGGGAGAAAGAGTAGTTAGGGAAATGGGAGGCAAGCAGAGGTTAGGAAGTGTGGAAGAGAGGAGGGGTGAAATGAATTCTTTCTTAGAATCATAGCTATACACATGCATTGAATGAGAAGCTAGGTGCAGGTTCTGAGCTGGTGGACCCAGGATGTGCTGGCTCCATGAATGGAAGTACATACGTCTCCCCTCCCTAAATGAAGATGTGTAGTACAACCACTGACTATGGTGATTAGTTGAATACATTAATACATTAGAAGAGGAGTGTCTGGAGGGCAGGGAGCCTCTTTTCGGTCTTTACAGTTTTCAAGCCCACCGTAGGAAGTAGGCACTCAGTTTGTTAAATTGAACTGAAGAATATTCTTAGATTTTATGCAGCTTGGTAATGAAGAGAAATTCTGGGCATGAATCAGAGTGATTAATACATTGAATTATTTTAGCATTAATGTTTGTACTTTATACGTTCTACTTACATAAAAACCGTCCTCATTTATTTACTTGTTTATTTATGTATCTTTTTTTCCTGCAATGTAAACTTTTGAGGACAGAAATTTTCCACTGCACCCCCAACACTTAGAATAATGCTTGGCCCATACTGGGCTTTTAATAAATGTTTATTGAATGATTGCCCGAGTGAATCTCTGATTCCTGTATTTGAAAGCTTGCAGCTTGCCAGCTTGCCTTTGGGATTGAGGAAGTAGAGCTGGGAATTTCCCCTTTCTGATTTCTCATGCCTTCCCTCTGCCTAAGTGGCAGAATTTGGATAGCCTCCGGAAGGTGAGACGGAAAGAGAAGTGTGTCCCCTCATCTCCTGCCAAGCTGAGAGAGTGGGCCTTTCTCACCACCTAGCCACCCAGGAGGTTCCACTACCACCTGCTTGAACCTGGTGCTGTCTGCAGCTTAGTGGTGTCATGGGAGTGTGGAGAAGGTTTGGACAGGGGATGGCCAGCCCTCCATGAGTTGTCTAAGGGCTCCCCAGAAAGGAAACGCTTGCCTGGGGACTTTTCAGAGGGCACTAGTGGGCACCCCCATGAGCTCTCACCCATGTATCAGCTGCCTTGCTAGATCCTGTTTCTCAGCACCAGCAGCGGGGAGGGCCATCTTCATGAGAAAGTTCACAGTCATCATTGGTCAGCAGAGATAGGAAGGAATGAATTGGTGTGTCAAAAGCTGTTTAGTTGCATCAGCACATGAAGTGCACAAGTGTGGGTTCTTTTGAAAGTCAAATCTAATAAAAAATAAGGCTGTTGGCATTATGCTGGAGGCAGAGGCCCCACCCTCAGGGAGCTCAAAAGCTGGTGGAATCCACTATCTAATGAAGGTGGAAAGAACGTCATCTTAGCAACTATTTCCGTTGTTCTCAGACAGGCTGGCTGAGCAAGAAAAAGGATAACGTTTCTCTTCAGTGGCCTCTGCCTTCCTTTCTGTGATACTTACTTCCTCCAGTGTCCTTACCTTCCCCAAATGGGAAGAAAACCATCAGCTTGATTGAATCCATGAGAGGCATAAGGCACAAGCAATTTGCTCCTCCTTTTACAAGTATTTGAATTCTTGATAGTGATAGCTGATAGTGATATGAACAATAAGGTCCAGGCTGAGGTGGTATCAGATGGAGATGAGGAACTTGTTGGGAACTGGAGCAAAGGTGACTTCTGTTATATTTTAGCAAAGAGACTGGCAGCATTTTGCCCCTGCCCTAGAGATGTGTGGAAACTTGACTTGAGAGAGATGATTTACGGTATTTGGTGGAAGAAATTTCTGAGCAGCAAAGCATTCAAAAGGTGACTTGGGTGCTGTTAAAGGCATTCTGTTTTAAGAGGGAAACAGAACATAAAAATTCAGAAAGTTTGCAGCTTGACTGTTTGATAGAAAAGAAAAACCCATTTTCTGGGGAGAAATTCAAGCTGGCTGCAGAAATTTGCATAAGTAGCAAGGAACCTAATGTTAATCTCCAAGACCATGGGGAAAATGTCTCCAGGGCATGTCAGAGACCTTCATGGCAGCCCTTCCCATCACAGGCCTGGAGGCCCAGGAGGAAAATGTGGTTTTGTGGGCTGGGCCCAGGGTGCCAGTGCTGTGTGCATCCTAGGGACTTGGTGCCTTGTGTCCTAGCCCTCCAGCCGTGGCTGAAAGGGGCCAATGTACAGCTTGGGCTGTGGCTTCAGAGGGTAGAAGCCCCAAGACTTGGCAGCTTCCACATGGTGTTGAGCCTGTGGGTGCACAGAAGTAAAAAATCGAGGTTTGGGAACCTCTGCCTAGATTTCAGAAGATGTATGAAAACGCCTGGATGCCCAGGCAGAAGTTTGGTGCAGGGGTGGGGTCCTCATGGGGGAACCTCTGCTAGGGCAGGGTGGAAGGGAAATGTGGGGTCAGAGCCCGCACACAGAGTCCCTACTAGGCCACTGCCTAGTGGAGCTGTGAGAAGAGGGCTGCTGTCCTCCAGACCCCAGAATGGTAGATCCACCGACAGCTTGCACCATGCGCCTGGAAAAGATGCAGACACTCAATGCCAGCCCACGAAAGCATCCAGGAGGGAGGCTGTACCCTGCAAAGCCACAGGGGCGGAGCTGCCCAAGACCATGGGAACATACCTCTTGCATTAGCATGACCTGGATGTGAGACCTGCAGTCAAAGGAGATCATTTTGGAGCTTTAAAATTTGACTGCCCTGTTGGATTTCAGACTTTCATGTGCCCTGTAACTCTTTTGTTTTGGCCAATTTCTCCCATTTGGAATGGCTGTATTTACCCAATACCTGTATCCTCATTGTACCTAGGAAGTAACTAGCTTGCTTTTGATTTTACAGGCTCATAGGCAGAAGGGACTTGTCTCAGATAAGACTTTGGACTGTGGACTTTTGGGTTAGTGCTGAAATGAGTTAAGACTTTGGGGGACTGTTGGGAAGGCATGATTGGTTTTGAAATGTGAGGACATGAGATTTGGAGAGGTCAGGGGTGGAATGATATGGTTTGACTGTGTCCCCACCCAAATCTCAACTTGAACTGTATCTCCCAGAATTCACATGTGTTGTGGGAGGGACCCAAGGGGAGGTAATTGAATCATGGGGGCTGGTCTTTCCTGTGCTATTCTTGTGATAGCAAATAAGTCTCATGAGATCTGATGGGTTTATTAGGGGTTTCCGCTTTTGCTTCCTACTCATTCTCTCTTGCTGCCGCCGTGTAAGAAGTGCCTTTCATCTTCCGCCATGATTGTTGGACCTGTGCCATATAAGAAGTGCCTTTTGTCTTCCATCATAATTGTTGAACCTTCCCCAGCCACGTGGAACTGTAAGTCCAATTAAACCTCTTTCTTTTGTAAATTGCCTTGTCTTGAGTATGCCTTTATTAGCAGAGTGAAAACGGACTAATACAATCAACTTTTCAATTTCATGTATGGGAAAGGAAAACAAAATACCAAAATGTTAACAGTAGTGGTTTTTGAGTTGTGAGCTACAGGTAATTTCTATTTTCATTTATTAACTTCTCTGTATGTTCTCAATTTTCTACAATAACCATAATTAGGGAGGAATGATTTGTTTAAAGGATTACCCTGAGATAGCAAATTATAAACCCAAAGGAATGAATCTTTGTTGTTGAAATTGTAGGCACTATGGTAAGCTTGGGGGTGGGGATATGTCTGGCATCTCTCAAAGCACACAACACAGGCCACTGCCAATCCAATCCTCCTACGTGTACAACTGGCTTTGGTATCCAGACTTCAAAACTGAGATGCAGCTGCTATAGCAAGTCTGATTGAAGCCTACATATGTTAGGGAGGCATGCCTGTGTTTTACGCCATTAATACTCAGAAAATAGATTATCTTTTAATCTCAGGAGGGTGCGAGGAAAGCATTCATTGCAGTGTGCTTTTAATAGTGAAAGATTTAAAATAACCAAAATGTCCATCATAAAGAATATAATCTCAAAAATTTAGATCTAAAAAACAAAGAAATTTTATGGTACCTTAATCTTCTTAGTTAAGATTAATGTGCATGAATAATATACACCTTAGGAGAAACAAGACAGTTGTCGAAACTAAAAGATGTGAAGTGGTCATTCAGGAAAGGAAGACTAATACTTGCACATGTTCACACCTACCTTGCTATTGGGTCCAAGACCCAATAGGTGTGAACATGTTCAAACATCTTTCTTGGAACTGAATATAACACTGGAGAATTCACCACCAAGCCTGAAGCAAGATAATATTGCTAAGTAGTTAGTTCTGAAAAGTGAATTAACTAACATAGAATCTAAGAATATTCTAAAAAATAACTGCTGCATAATGTATGGAAATAAAGTTATAGTAACTAATCAACAAGATCTGCTGAAGAGATCAGAGATCCTATTTTTTGATAATGGAACACTGACATAGTATTTTTTATTTGACTTTTAAAAATCAGGCTGGGTGCGGTGGCTCATGCCTGTAATCCCAGTATTTTGGGAGGCTGAGGTGGGTGGATCACTTGAGGTCAGGAGTTCGAGACCAGCCTGGCCAACATGGTGAAACTCTGTCTCTACTAAAAATACAAAAATTAGCTGGGCATGGTGGCAGGCGCCTGTAATCCCAGCTACTAGGGAGACTGAAGCAGGAGAATAGCTTGAACCTGGGAAGCGGAGGTTGCAGTGAGCCAAGGTCGTGCCACTGTACTCCAGCCTCGGTGACAGAGTGAGACTCAGTCTCAAAAACAAACAAACGAAAAAACCCCAGCTTCCTGGGCAATAAGTTTTATCACTCAAATAACTGTTTAGAAGGGTACTAGAACTGAGAGAAACTCTAAGAAACTTAATCCCAGACCAGTTTCACATGGAGGCAAAAACCATTCAATTTGCTTAACTGTAGCTAACTTCACAAATATCATTTTTTAATTGTTAAAAAGAAATTTATAAGATGCTCCAAATGGAACTCTATGAATATGTAATACGTACTTCTACTTAATAACACATGCTGGAAGATAGTAACCTTTAGCAGAGCCAAGATACAGTTTAAATACAGCAGAATTTTGATAGACTCAAAGTAAATCTTAGCTGTGTGTAAAGGGGTCAATGTCCAGCCTGGACTGCAAAGTAGACTGAGAATTGTGTTGTTCGGAAACAATAAAGTTAAGATAGGTATACAATGCTATGTCCAGAAACCCCCCACCCAAAGCACTGCACCTGGGTCGTAAATTGGGGCTGCTTCATTTTTACTGATATAATTGCCAACACCAAAGTTTGTGATGTCTATGGTTTTAGAGAACAATGTTTCTGAGTGAGTAGGAAAGCTGTAGTCACTTGAAGAAGGGGGTTATTATGATACTTTACAGCTGCAGCACGTCCTTAGGAGACATTGCATCCTGTTAACTTTGCAGCTGACTTTATCTGTGCCTATTTTTCTAGCCTGATGAACAGTTGAGCTGATTTTTTACCTTCTCAGTGTGAGCTAATATTTACTTTCTCATGGGCAATCCTAAATGTCAAATACTGTATTGAGTGCTTTACATACATTATTTCATTTAATCTTAGCAACAATCCTTTGAGGCAAGTGCTAGCATCCTATTTTACAGATGGGGACACTGAGTCTTGGAGATGTTGAAGTGGTTTGGCCCAGGTTTCATACAGCTAGTAAGTGACAAACCCATTTCAAACCTGGGTCTCCCTAACTCTAAACCTAGTCTTCTTAACCTCTATCCTTTAAGCAGATGTAGAAATTAAAGATTATTCAAAGTGAAATGGGTAAAATACAGAGCTGGTTATGGGCAAGTGGCAGGCTCATGCACTATGGCTAGGACCACAGATTGAAACAATTTTCTGGAGGCCAGTTTGGTAAATAATGTAGTAAAAAAATTAACATGTACCCTTTGAGCCAACAATTAATCTTCTAGAAATTTAAAGAAAATAATTTCTAAACTGCACGGAGGCATGCATTAGAATTACAGCATGATTTACAAAAATATACAAACAAAAATACAGACAATGTAAACATTTTTAGTAAGGAATTAAATGGCTAAACAGATACACAATGCAAGAGTATTTAACTATTAGGATGAAAATACATTGTACAGTAAAAGGCACCAGATTACTGATGAGCATTTATCATGTGATTTTATTTTATTTATTTTATTTTTTTGAGATGGAGTCTCACTCTGTTGCCCAGGCTGGAGTGCAGTGAGGCGATCTTGGCTCACTGCAGCTTCTGCCTCCTGGGTTCAAATGATTCTCCTGCCTCAGCCTCCTGAGTAGCTGGGATTACAGGCACCCACCACCACACTGAGTAGAGACAGAGTTTCACAATGTTGGCCAGGCTGGTCTTGAACTCCTGACCTCAGGTGATTCGCCTGTCTCGGCCTCCCAAAGTGCTGGGATTACAGGCGTGATTTTATTTTTATGTAAAATTGACTACATATAGTGTATTTATATGTGCAAATATATATAGAGAAAGGTGTGGAAACATGTTTACTATGTTTCTCTCTGGCTTGAAAAAGTTTATTTTTAAACTTTTTGTGCTGTTCTTTATTGACTGAATATTTTGTGAGTCTGTATCAATTATTATAAAACAAAAAACTATTTGAAAAAAAGAATGTCAAAGTTAAATCAATTCTTGCCTCAGTAACTGGAGTAATTTCATGCACACTAGCCATATATTTTATAGAACTGGAAATCTATTATGCTCTGGAGAAAATCCAACAGGTATGTTCTAGATTTTGCCCGTAGAACTAGGCTGTTTCTAGTCCACCAAAGGATTATATTAATTTATGGAAACAATAGGGTTTGGACTAAAACCAGTTCTATCTGGGCTATAAGAGTTAAATGTTGTCTTACATTTTTATTTATAAATATCTTCAAAGCATTTTCATTTAATTGGAGTTAGTCTTCCTTGTTGATTGGCATTGTATTTTGGGAGTAAATAAATTTTAAATAGCTAAGGTAAATGGATTTTAGAGAGGCTACTTGTACAGTCACGAAGTAAATCTAATGAATCTTTTGGCCCTATATTTAGGGTTGCTCGGGTGGATTAGTAAAATGGGCCTGTTTAGTAAAAGTAGATGGAGTCTGAGAGAAGTTGAGTATGACCAGAGAAAAGATTACCAATTGGAGACATAAAAGGGTGTTATAACTGCTTTGACAAGTGATTATGACTTGTAGAGGAAGGAGAAAAAAGTCAAAGAGTTATTATTTAAGAAACATTACCAGGCGCAGTGGCTCATGACTGTAATCCCAGCACTTTGGGAGGCCGAGGCTGGTGGATAACCTGAGGTCAGGAGTTCAAGACCAGCCTGGCCAACACGGCGAAACCCTGTCTCTACTAAAAATACAAAAAATTAGCCGGGCGTGGTGGCGGGTGCCTGTAATCCCAGCTACTCGGGAGGCTGAGGCAGGAGAATCACTTGAACCCAGGAGGCAGAGGCTGCAGTGAGCTGAGATCGCGCCACTGCACTCCAGCCTGGGCGACAAGAGCGAGACTCTGTTTCAACAACAACAAAAAAGAAACAGTACCATTCTAGAAAAGAACTCTCTCTTTAGCATACATGGATGGTTATGGCAATATAAATTAACACCTAAATAATTTGTCATTCAACAAAATCTTAGCACTGTGTGTCTTGAGGATATTTTAAAGTTAATTACGACCCCGGGCTGCAGAGTGGGAGATTGGAAGAAGGAAATTCAGGAGTTGTTTTGTTAACAGTTGAAGCTGTGGAAATAAACAGTCAACCGAAGCCAGAGGAAAGGAAGGAAAAAAATAAAACCTTGAGGATACCAACATTTTTTATGGCCCCGTAAAAAAGGAGCAGCCCAAGAAAAGTGCAAACGAAGGCAAGTTCAGAAATCAGGTAGAGAGACTCATATTGAAGACAAGGGAGGAGAGTTTCAAAAAGGAGGAGTTAGCAGTATCACGTGCTGTAGAAAGGCCACACGACAGTAGGACTGAAGTGGCCACTAGATTTGGCCTTCAGCACTTACTAGAGTCTAGTGGAGACAGGAGTACCTTGCACAAGTGGCTCATTTGTTGGCACCAGAGGCTAGAACAAGGCACTTTCACACAGTCTGCATTGGACTAGATTGGGAAGTAGGCCCTACATTAGGGGACGAAACTCATGAGTGCCCGGGTATTTTCAGCTATTATTGGGGATAGGGACTCTGCGGGTGGCTAGAGGTACTGCTAAGCCAGAGCTCAGGAGATGCACCTAGGGCCCCAGTAGTAGGTCTCCGATAAGAATCAGGGGAATGAATATATAAATGAATGAATATATGAATGCATGTGGGGGTGTGGTCTAGCGATTACTTTATGAGCGTGACAAGGATAGGAAGAGGATGGTGAAAGCATACAGTAGTACCTGCCTGTGAAAGAAGCTGCCCGTCGACTCAGAGAGCTGCCACGGAGATTGGTGTTTTCAAGGCTGTCAGGTTCCCCAGTTGGGAGAAGGGTGGGAAGGGCTTAAGGATTTACAGAGATTGATTTAGGGGAGAACACACAGGAAGCGAAACAGCAGGAAACGCCGGGAGACAGCAGCAGCAGGACAGGATTGAGGAAGGGTAAGAGTGCGAAATGGGGTAAGAATAAAAGAAAGGAATGGACAGATGTATGCTTTACAAGGCACTTCCACGGCGAGTGACTCATTCATGCTTAGGACAACCCAGGGAGAGACATAGGTATATATTGCATTGCCAGCCTTTGGAATGCGGGATGCGGTCCAGATAAGGCCATCGCAGCTCAGAGAGGCTGTTCAGCCGCTGTTCGATTCCTCTGGTGACAAGAACACTCTACTTTTGGAAGTAGCACTTCTATTAGAGAAGTTAAAAAAAAAAAAAAAAGAAAAGGGAGATAAGAAGAAAGGTGTGGGCCCCTTGAGGGGAAAGATCTGTGAATGACAGACATTTTAGATAATTCATGGAATTGCAGAGCCAGAACGGGTCAGGCAGATCTTTTCATCTGTAAAACGAAGGGGGCAGACGATCTTCCTTTTCTCTTGTCTAATAGCCTGTGAAATCATCTAGGCAACCACCTCCCAATTTTACAGAATAAAAAACGAGGCCCGCGGGATATGTCTCGCTCAAAGTAACAGAACGCCCGAGTGGAGGGACAGGCCCGGAGCCGACTCCGCCCCGTCCGCAGGGCCTCTCGCCGCTCCGACACCTTCCCAGAAAGATAAAGAACAGCGGGAGGCGGCAGGCCCGGCGGCCTAGCTGCGAGCGCCCTGGTGTTCGAGGCCGCTTCCCGGCAGCAGTGGGAGGAACGCCCCGAGGGGAGGGCAGGAGAGGGGCGGGGAGGAGTTGAGACGGGCGGGGAAGAGTTCGGGCCTCCTTTCCCACACTTCGTTAGGACGCCGGCTGGGGCGGGCCGGCAGAGGGCGCGGGGCGGTTCCTCGCTCGGCGGGCCCGGCAGGCCCGGCGGGCTGGGGGCGCGCTGTCCCGGGCGCACTGTCGGAGCTCGCGGGCACCGGGTCGCGGCGGCCCGGGCGGCCGGAGCCGGCAGGGGAAGTGCGGCGGGCGGGCAGGCGGGCGGCCGGGAACGGGCGGGGCGGGGCGGGGCGCGAAGGGGGCGGTGCCGCGAGCGGGGGGCGGTGGCGGCGGCGGCGGTGGCGGCCGAGGAGGAGAACATGGCGGCCGCGGAGAGCGGCTGAAATGCCTGTTCTTCAGGCCGGGCGAGCGGGAGTCTGACGCGATTTGCTGAGCTCTGTCCTCCGACGGCTGCCTCGCGGCCTTGAGGGCCTCCGCCGCCTGTTCGCTGCTGCTCCCTCGAGCGGAGCCTGCGTCAGGTTCCCTCTGCATCCCCCTGCGGGGGGACCCCTGCTCCGGAGGAGGGGGCCGGAGAGCCGCGGCGCCGGGCCCGAGGAGCGGCGGAGGCCGGGGCGGCGCCGCCGCCACGGTCGCGGACGAGTGCGGCGCCGGTGAGCGGGGCCCAGAGGCGGCGGCGGCAGGTGAGTGGCGGGCTGCGGGTGCGGAGCCTCCCGGTGGGTGCAGCTGTCACGAGCCGCGCGGCCGCGGAGGCCCTAGGGGGCGGGGAGCAGCTGGCGCCCCTCCGCCCCCTGCTCTCCTTTCTCCCGCTCCATCCTCCTCCCACTTCCCCGAGTTCCCCTCGCGGCCCGGCGCGGCTGGAGGGGGCGGAGGTCGCAGCTGTCACGGGCACCAGCTGGGGGCTGCTCCCCGCCGGGGGAAATCGCTGCAGCAGCGACTTCTCTCCGCCTCTTTTCCAGTTGCCCTAGTTAGCGCGGAGAGGGCGAGCATCCGCGGAGGGGGTGCGAGCTGCGCGGCCGCCTGCCCGGCGTGGGGAGCGGGCGCCCCGGGCCGCCGCCGAGAGGGGGAGCCGGAAGTCGGCGCGGGCGCCCCTCGGCCCCGACGACGCCGTGACCTTGGCCGGCCCGCTCACCTCTCGGAATCTCGCCTGCCGGGACCGCGAAATGGGGGCGACCGCGGCGTCCCTCTCCGTCGGCGCAGCCCTCGACGGCGCTTGGGTTTGACCCCGGCGCGCTTGCTCGCCCCTTCTCCCGAGAAGGGGTTTCGGAGGTAGACATGGGATGGATACTGGACATGTTCCTGTCGCGGCCCGGGTTTGGTCCCCTTCCTGGGATTCAGCCGAAAGGGCCGAGGAAGGGAAGCAAACATGTTGACGAGGCGATTGGGAGGTGGGGTTGGTTAGTGGGCAGTGACAGAATTCGGGCCGCTCTCTAGTCCCTTGTAAAAGACCTGAAAAAATCGGACACCCAGGGTCTCCAGTCCTTACTACCCAGCTGTGGTGGCTGCTTTTTTATTTTATTTAAAAGCAGTTACCCCCATGGGTAGACACTGCCCAGTCTGACGACGTTAGAGGGAGACGGAGGGGTTGACAATACAGCCTGTGTGTGTGTGACAAGGACAGGCCACGGTGTTGTGTCCGGAGAGTTTCATGGGGAGGAAAACTTTAAGCTGGAGGATCTGTTAGCCTCTCATGCTTGGCCCTCCTCGTTTCTTGTAGAGGTGTTGAACAGGCAGGTGTCCTTGTGCAGAAGGTGACATTTTTTCTTCGGAGACGGTGAGTTTTTAATGTCGAGTGTGATGTTGGTGAGTAAAGGGTTCTTGAGTGAATTGCAGTCCCAGCACCCTCTGTGGATGCCAAGAGGAATCTCTGTGGCGATGATTTGTGAGGGCTGGTGCTTACATTTCAGTGATTAAGAAATCAAGTGTCTGCTTAAAACATTACTGCCGTGAAGCGTAGATTATATGATACAGTTGAGGGATGGATCTCAAGGGTTAAATTTGTTTGAGGTTTGTCTCCTCTTCTGGAATTGGTTGGAGGCTAGTCTCAAAAAAAAAGCAAACAAAACAACAACAATAACAACGAAAGTTGGCCAGAGGGGCCTCCTATGATGTTGTAGGAAGGGGGTCGGATTTCTTCATGTTGAGAATAATGTGAAAAGAAAGTATTTGCTTAGGTCTCTTGGATCTTCAACTAGAAATAGTTTTGGGTTAAAGGTAGCAGTGGGGTTTGATTCAGCTTAACAAATAGGCATTCCTTGAACTATTTGCCATAAATTAGATAAAATGGAAGTGTTTCTGTTTTATCTCCTGTACTTTGTGGAAAGGTCTAATTTGGTTTTGTGAACGAATGTCCGAAATGTTTTATATTTCTTCTTCAGACTCTATGCTTTGGGAACAGTGGGTCACAGAGAGGGTCTGAGTTGGGAATATATGGTTTAGAGAGAAAATAGAGGACTGCTGCTTATAAGAACAGGTGTTTAGTTTGATTTTTGTAGATATTTTCTACTGGTTATTTAACAACATTGAAGTTTGCTTTATAAGGTGCAAAACGTGAATTTTACGTAGCTTACACTTGATCTCTTCCTTATTTCTCTCAGAAAACCTGTAGGATTGTGCCTATTAAATTGCTTTTTGTGTGGTTTAAACCAAGAGAGTATTTTAGATCTGCAGTGGTTTTATTGGAAAAAAAAAAAAAGTGCTTGATGGAGCTAATGGTGATTGTTTCACTTAAACTAGGATTATATAGACAATGCTTCTTCCTGCCTCTTTCTGCGAACATTTGTTTTTGTTTCTCCCTCAATTCCAGGGTTTCATTTCTAGAAATCTGGGCTGCAAACAGAAGCAGCAGTTTGTATAATCCCAAGAACTTGCTTATGCCAGGAAGCTGTAAGGGTAGCATGAAGCGGGTGTGATGTAAAGACACTGCTACTACTTAAGACATTTAACTGTTGAGGGAGTCTAAGGTCAAACTTTAATTTTTGTTGAATTTCCTGTTTTCTGCTTATGTGTTAATCTTTTGGTGGGCAGAAGATTGGGTTGCTATGGTGCTAACTGGTGTATATTGTGAAAGTGCTGGCAACATTTCATGCTTTTACTCTATAGGGAAGGGTGGTAAACAAGCCTAAATAATTTAAAGATGTTGTTCTCAGAATGGAATGTTCTGTGCATGTCTTCTTGATCCTGCTAATCCAGTGAGCGGTCTTCACTAGGACTAAATGTTGAGTAAGTGATGAGGGTGGTATAGAGGTGCTGAAAGGTGGAGTGGTGGAGAGAGGGTATTGGGCATTTTCTTGAAATTCTTTTCCCCAATTCTGTATAGGGAATCTGTATACTAGACTGTGATTTATAATTGTTTTTCAAGGATGTTTTAGTTCTCCCTGCTTGGTTGTCATCAATTTCATATACCTCCTCTTAGATACTACCTCTGTTCCGTACTTTAGTTTGTCTTTTTTGCTGCGTCTCCCAAGGACTCCACATTGTTTGAATGTTATGTTGCATATCTTATGGAGTTGGCTGGCCTTAAGCCATGTGGCTTAACATAGTTTTCATTATAGGGCAGGTGTGGGAGGTCAATACAACGCACAACACGGAGTAAAATCTAAGTCATGGAGCATAGGAGATCCCCGGGACGCTCATGATTGTTTTGGCATTGGTTTTTGCCTTTTAAATATGATTATAACAGAAATTCTCAGAGGACCATCAGCTGCTTTCCTGGCAGAGGTCCAAAAATGTTTTGGAGGGTTCCATTTTGCATTACTTGCAAATATTGGATGCTGTGGTCGGTGTGGGCTCGGGTGAAATCCATGTGTTTCAGGAGGTGGATGTCAGAACACTGTATCTGATCTGGGCTGCAGAACCGTATAAATTTCTCCCTATCTTAGATTAACTTTCCTACCCATTTGGGAAGACTAGACTGTAGGAAAGGACTTTTTAAAATTGCTTCTTTCCCAGATTAGCAGTAGTTTAGCCGTTGGTGATTGGCAACTAAGGATAGGCCTCATGTTCTATTCTTAACATTGAAGATGAGGTCTAGTCATTTAAAACCTTTCCTTTTCTCTTTATATTTTAGTTAGACCTTGTGCCTTTCAACATTTGGTGTCAGAGGTCATAAAATGGCCTAGTGGCAACTAGGTACCAATGTTGGTTGCTTCATTTCATAAGGAGATGAAGGTGTTTTTTTTTTGTTTTTTTTTTTTAATAGCTTAGTTCTGGAAAATGGTTTGTGGGCTATAGTATTTGGATTAATGTATAGAAATGATTATTATATATTTCTGCAGGATACATGGCTGAATAAGGGAAATTATTATAAAACGCTGATACCAACATATAAGTCCAATTCCATAAGTTTAAGTAAAGTGAGTTGTATCCATGCTTCTTCCCCCATAACCCCATCTGCAACACAGAATTTTTGAGGCTCCTTGGAGTGATAGGCTTTTAGAAAAGCTTAGTATGGTTATCATATTTAAAAGATAAGTAGCTTATGCCAAAATAGAAGCTCTAGTCACTCGAGGAGTTATGGAAGACTCACCCTCATCTTGGATATATTTTGTTCTTACCACTCCCCGAGAGTATGTTTTAGTGTGTGGAGGGCAGGGATGTTTGGT
This sequence comes from Homo sapiens, assembly GCF_000001405.40. NCBI lineage: Eukaryota > Metazoa > Chordata > Mammalia > Primates > Hominidae > Homo > Homo sapiens. Next base: position 24,495,524 of record NC_000002.12, read on the forward strand.
TTTACTGAGTAGCCCTGACCTGACCATTAGGCACAGACAGGCCAGACTCATAAAAATAGGTGCAAGCACGGAAGCAAAACGCACCCATTATCAGGACCAGAATTCTAATTGTACTGGATTATCCAGTTTTTCCAGAGTGATGCTTCATTTTTGCCCTTTCAGCTTATAATTGTGGGGCAATTTTAAAGCATCTTTTAGAAAAGAAACTCTGACCAGACAGACAGAGGTGTCCTAGCTCTTCCAGATACTTAGGTTGATGTAGCCTTGAGCTGTTTAACCACACTAAACTTCAGTTTTTATATTTAAAATTGGAGTAACGTACTTGTCCTCATATTGTAATCTTTAAAATTATTAAATGTGTTTAGCATATGATTGGCACATAGACATTAATGACTAACAGGTATTTCATTAGCGAATTCATCACCAAATTCTCGCATTCTTTTCTTTGTAATTTCTCAAATTTTTTCCTTTATTTCTGGTTCTGCAATCTGGTCCTCCTGTCATTTGCACATGGAGTAATGGGAGTCACATTGACTCTGTGGGCCTGAGTTTCTTTATCATTAAATGAGCATGTTGGTCTAATTTCACATTTCTTCTTGTTTTAAAATTCTGTGATTTGTAGGTTTATAGCTGTTTGCTTGCATGCATTTACCTCTCTAATTTGTCCTACACATAATGCTGAAGAAATTCCCTTCTAAAAAAATTTTTTTATGTTATTGTTTTCAGAGGAGATTTTCTGTGGGCAAATTTATCAAATGTAAATCATTTAAACTGATTCTTTCATTTCCCATTCCAGAAAATTTGCTGTAGATGGCATATGCAGAAATACTTCGCAAACTGTAAAGTGCTACGCAATGAAGAAAGTATTATGATAATCATAGATATCTTGCGTCTTTGCTTTTACATGTTCCATTTTCTTCATTTAAATTGGATTTCCTTTATGTTCTCGTGACCTTCAAAAACAGCATCAAAGCTGGTATGTTTTCAAGAAAGCTTGATTTTTATCACTCCCTTAGCATTAGGTACTCTGTTCTGTATAATAAACTTCTCTTTCTCTCTCTTTCTTTTGAGAGAGATTCTCTTTTTAGTGTGTGTTGATTGGTTTTCCTAAACAGATTGGAAAACGCTTGAGATGCCAGGAACTACAACATTTAGAGTTAAAGAGCCTTAAATGATCATTTAGGACAGCCTTCTTAATATTACAGCTGAGCAGACTAAGTCCATGCAGATGTAGTTGGGAATAGGGTTTCTTTATGAGAGTTACTTTTTGTATTTAAAGTTACAATATTACAAAGATATTTTAAATAATAAGAATTCCTGTAAGCTTTTGAGTAATGTGTAAGCTAGGAGGAAAGGAGCATTTTTATTTTTTGACCAAAATATGACTCTCAAATATTGTAAAAAGGTATTAATTAGGAATTAATTAAGACCGTTTTCTCAAAAACTACAAAAGTACCTGTAGAAAAACGTCTGCTTTTCTTGTAAGGCCCTCATTCATAGTCAGCAAATATTTATTGAGTGTTGTCTCTGAGCCAGGTACTGTGCTAGCTCTACATATTACATTTTATAAATGAGGAAACAAGGCTCAGGGAAGTTAAGTGGCTGGCGTAAGATTGCACAGCTTATAGGTGTTAGGGATGACATTTGAGTTCAAGCCTACTGAGTGGAAATCATATTCATACCTTTCAATTGGCTTCTCTTCAAGCATGTTCGTCACACTTGGCCACATTATACTTTTTTTTTTTTCTTTCTGGACTTTCTTTCTCTTGAATACCTGTGTTGTGGAGACTCCTGCAGTCTTGTTCCTTTCTGATGACCCGGGAGCCATATATACCAGTTACTTGATGAAAATGTCACTTTAAGATTCTTGTGGGCTGGGCGTGGTGGCTCACATCTGTAATCCCAGCACTTTCAGAGACCAAGGCAGGCAGATCATGAGGTCAGGAGTTCGAGACCTGGCCAATATGGTGACACCCTGTCTCTACTAAAAATACAAAAAATAGCCGGGTGTGGTGGCGCAAGCCTGTAGTCCCAGCTACTCAGGAGGCTGAGGCAGAAGAATTGCTTGAACCAGGGAGGCGGAGGTTGCAGTGAGCCGAGATCGCGCCATTGCACTCCAGCCTGGGTGACAGAGCGAGACTCCATCTCAAAAAAAAAAAAAGATTCTTGTGCTGTTTCTGGTCTCACCTTTGTACTTCAGTAATGTTGATTCTTTGGTGCTTCTATCCAGGTAAGGTTATCTTTGGTTGGTTTTGGATTCTTAGCCATAAAATTCTGCCTCTCAAGTTTTGTTGGTATTTAAATAGCTAAAGCTTAGTGTGGTTTGGTTTTGTTTTTATTTTTTTGGAACAAATTGCTTGGTCATTCTCTGTGTTTCCACTTGTAATTTGAATGGTTGATTTTATCTTAAAATTCCAGTTTGCCTATATAGTTAAAACATTTACATACTTTTATTATCAAGCATAGATTTGATTATTTAACAGTAGGTATTCTATTGTGAATGTATGTATGTATATAAACATATCACATCATATTTGACCAGATAGTTGAAGGATGAAATGTCCTTGAGTTTTGAAAACATCTGTATGTGTAATATTGACTTTACTTTGGTGAATTTGTTTGTAAGAAACAAAAAGTTATTTGTTCTGCAATGTCTAATATCTCCCTCTCCATTCTAAATGGTACAGGTAGTCTGTAATTGAATTTCTAAGTAGCTACTCAATCATTCGGTCAAGACGTAGTTATATGAGTACGTACTTTGTTCAAGGTGCTGTGCTGTAAAAAGATAGTGGTTATTGGGAAATTAACCGATAAAATATAGATCCTGTTCTTAAGCAGATTATGACCTGAGAGAGGTGATAAGACAAACATACAAATACCTATAATAGTAATTGAATGTGATGAGTGCTGTGAGACAGGTCCTGAAACAGTGCTTTGAACATTCAGGGAGAGGGAATGATTATTGTATTTTCATTTGAGAAAAATCAGGGCAAGTTTTATGGAGGACTTGGTGGTAGACAAAAGCATTGAGGGCAGGGGATGATTTCTTTAAGAATAGAGACAAGGAGAACAGTATGTTCAGGAAGATTAAATAGCAAAGATGAAAAGACGGAGTAATGCAGGGGAAAGTGCAAGGAGTGTGGCATCAGCTGAAGTGGGAGAGGGAAGCATATCGTCTAGGTGTAGTAAGAAAACATTGGTGGATTTTAATGGAGGGAGGTGGTGGGGAGCAGTATGTAGTAAGTATGTAGATATGGATGAAAATGAGAAATGTCAATTTTCCAAATTTACGTGGATCTTTTCTTGGCAGGTTTTATACCCCAAATTTCATATTTTTTGTTTTTGAAATGATTCCATATGTAAGGCTTACCCACATTGGGAACTTATTCACTCATTTTTATGTATATTTAAACACAGATTATATGGTTTTTTTTTTGAATAGAAGTTGGTACAAAATCTTTTTCACTGCCTTATACTTTTTTCGAATTAACTTTTTTGTTTTTTACTTTTGATTATGAATTATGCCTTAACCTACATGTGATATGAGATATGCATATTGCATGATACTTGCCCAAGAGTTAGCCAGTTGATCCAACATAATTTATTAACATATTCATTTTAATAATTCCCTACTATTTTGAAGTCTACATTTTGATGTTTCTATACTCCCTTTTTTCTGATTCTGCATTTCTTTATTCCAAAAATAGATACATCTATTTAATATGTGGCAGTTCCTTACTGTTTTATATATTGTTACTGATAAGGAAAATCCTGCCATCAACCTTAAAAAAAAATTTTAACCTCCCAGTGATTCTTAGATGTTGATTTGAGTTTATTAAATATATAGATGAATTTTGGACCAACCAGGATTGCAATATTCCAACATTCCTCCAGCATTGTTCTATGGCCCTTTGTTTATCAGATCTAATTTCATGCCCTCTAAATGTGCTTTATATTGTTCTTAGTGTACTTCTTTTCCATTTTATCTTCTATTTCATACCATTGACTTTTTTTTTTAAGCAGTAAGTATTCTTTTAAACAGTGTATTATCACTTGGCATTTTTTAAGATGATGCAGTGGACTTGTTTGTTCGGTGTAAAAATGTCTCTTTGTATAAATATAAGTGTATCTGACTGTATAAATGAGATTGGTCATACAAGTTGGAAGCCCCTGGCTCTCATTTATAGTTCATGATTTATTTTACTGATTTATTTATGCCTTGCCATGTTCCAAAAAGGATTTAAGGCAGGATGTGTCTTGAGGAGTCTTGGACCTTGTTCCAGCCCTGTCTATTATTTGACTGATGCCCCTAGCCAACGTTACTCGTTACACGGAGGGAACAGTGTTGAAGACAACTAGTGTCACTGAATGTGCTGTGGTGTGTCTTTTGCCAAACTGGTAGTAATTCAGAGATGATACAGTGTAATTGGGGTACCTTTAAAGATAAGTCCTTTAAACCTTGATAGCATACAACAGAAATTGGCTGGAAGTATCCCTTCAAGTATCCCTGCTGGGTAGGCTGATAAAGAGCCTTAACTCTTGGGACCCCAGGCACTTTTAGCCCGGTAGTTTCTTTTTTTCTTTCTTTCTTTCTTTTTTTTTGAGAAGGAGTTTCGCTCTTGTCGCCCAGGCTGGAGTGCAATGGCGCGATCTCGGCTCACTGCAACCTCCACCTCCCAGGTTCAAGTGATTCTCCTGCCTCAGATTCCCTAGTAGCTGGGATTACAGGCATGTGCCACCATGCCTGGCTAATTTTGTATTTTTAGTGGAGACGGGGTTTCTCCATGTTGGTCAAGCTGGTCTTGAACTCCCAACCTCGGGTGATCCGCCCGCCTTGGCCTCCCAAAGTGCTGGGATTACAGGCGTGAGCCACCGCGCCTGGCCAGTAGTTTCTTAACATTAAATTATCCGCAAAATGGAAGAAATACTAGAGGTCTGTGAAGATGTTTCTTCTCTTTCAGTCTGTTGTGGTGGTTTGTAGTTTACAGGGGCTTGGGTAACTGGATTTTTAGGTTTATTATTTTAAATAGTAGACTCAACACTATTTTGTATTGCAGTAGAGATCACTTATGCAGATCTTTTTAATACCATTTCATAGAGATTAAGTGGTCACCTTGAGGCAGAGGAGTTAAGAATGATCTAACTTAAAGATGACTTACTCAGTATTTTTTCACAAAAAGACAAATGTCCCAAGTTTGTTGGTCCTTTTTGTGAAACGTGGCTATAAGTGCTATGTTACCTAGCAAATAAACACACTTAATCTGCCCCTTTGAGATAATAGGGTAAGTTCTTAACAGTGATTCAAAAAGTAACTACCTTTCAGAACAACAACAAAAAATTTAATGCTGTAGGGAAAGGATATTGAAAATGGATATTTAGAATTTTTCCTGTTATGGAATTTAATTGTTGAAAATTATATGTGTTAACTTTAAGAGCTTTTTTTATATGTATACTTGAACTTGGAAACAGAATTTTCTAACCTGTATAAAAATCTTTTAAAAGAGCTGTTTAGTGATTTTGAGCCCATCTGCTGAAAACACAAAAAGGCAATACCATCTGATTAGTTTATAAGAACAACTGATTGCCATCAGAAGGTATGGAAATGCACTAGCTGAATTTTAGCAAAAACCTTTGCATAAATGGTGAATGGGATTGGAAATTGAATATCATGTTTTATTCAGTGCACCCAGTAATGGAGTTCTTTTGGTTTTATTCATATTTGTGAGGTAACATTTTTTCAGCTATGATAACCATTAAAACCAAATAAAATAGTTATATCTCATAAAAATGAACCGAATATAGAACTAGACCTTCAAGTTGTTATATTACAAAGTATGAAAGCAAGATATAAAAATAACAAACCATGTTCATTTACATTGCTGTCACCAAAAGTAGTGAGTGGTATTAATATAATAACAATATTAGGAAAAGCACAAAGTTTTTGTGTCATCAATAAGAAAAGTAAATGTTTAAAAATTTGTTTACTTGCTATAATATTCTTTTTAATTTCCTTTTTTGTATATGCCATATCTACATAATTTATTGATTTGGTGTGCAATATATACAAATTATAAATAAGTATAATGGCTTCCTATTCATAAACTTTTAAACCATGAGATATGTGATAAAAATGGCTATCATGATTCTATACCAGAAGTTCCTAACCTGGGGTTCATAGAATAAGAGCCCCTAGATAGGCTTTAGGGGATCTGTAAGCACTCTGAAATTGTATGTAAAATTTTGTGAGTCTATATATTTATCTGGGGAGAGGGTCTAGAGCTTTCACCAAATTTCTGAAAGGGTCCATGACCTCCCCCAATGGTTTAGGATCTCTGTTTTTGTGGACTGGGACCTCAGTAACTCTACTCATCCAGTTGTACCCTCTTGCCAAGTTTGATGGATATATCTGATGTCATTACTCAAGCCCACCGTATGACTAGATGTGCAGTCTGTTTTTCCACTTTGCAACAGATGTGATTGCAGTGCCTTTGGCTTTTACAGGTGTTTGAGTTCTGTCTGTTTATTGCACAACTACCTGGCCCTCCATCCCTTGGCTGCTTTTATATATGTTATTTTCCATCTATATCCCCCTAACCCCCAATTAAAAAGAGTGGACCTATTGTATGGGTGTAGAGACAGGAATATATATAAAGAGCCCAGTTTCAATTCACTTCGCTTCAAGTATCCCTGCTGGGTAGGCTGGGATTCACAGTTGTGCTTTTGACCTATCTTTAGCATCTGAATTTCAGCTTTCTAGAATCCTTAGAGTCTGATTTGACATATGCTAAAAACACTTTGCAAGTTTTGTAGGCTCTTTTCTCCTCACTGACATTCTAGTTCAGGCTTAATTATTCTTTTTTTTCTTTTGGGGCTTAATTATTGGTCAAACAATTAATTAATTGGTCAAGCAAAGTGGTCCCACTCCCCAGTGAGTTCCTTCTTCATATGTCCCAAATTTTGATTCGGAATGATTATCCTAATTTTTACTTTAATGGTACTGTTTTGCTCAGAAACCTTCAGTGGTTCCTCATTGCTGTCAAGATAAAGTTGTTCCTTAGCCTGGCATTTAAACCTTTCCAGTGTTTGGCCCCAGCTTTCTTTTCTGGGTTCATTTCCCACTAGTCTGCCCCAGTAAATTGTGTTTTGAAATAAAATTGTCAATTTTTTGTCCTCTAAACATCTCTTGAGCTTTTCTCTTTCTACCTCTTTATATGTTATTTTCCAAGGAATGTTCTCCCTTAATCTAGTCTATGCTTTTTGAAATTCTACCTATCCTTTACAGCTCAACTCAGATTTCACCTTGCTTATTAAGTGTTCAGACCATAAAATTTAAAAGTAATCAATTCCTCCTGTGAACTCTCAGTATTTATTTTCCTTGTTATTCGCTTGGTACTTTATATGTACAACCTTGTACCTTATGAAATTTTTTGTTTTTGTGTGTCCTGTCTCCTGTATTAGGGTATGAGAATGGCAGATGGGGATTAGGTTTTATATTTTGTCCTCTGCAGTGTCTTACACACATAGATATTACAATATTTGTCAAGTCATATTGATTAAAGCATAATGCTACTTATGAATGTACTTAGAGAAATAGACCTTTTGTGGGTGTGAATGTGTGCGTGTTCCTGGAATACTCACAGATAAACTAGGGATTTTCTTGACTAGTTTCAGGGTATTTAGGGAATTAAATTGGAAATCTGGTATTGCTTGGAGAACGTGTTGTTCTACAACATAAGAAGTTGGCTGTAAAGGGATATCTCAAAAGTCTGGTGTAGCTTGGTGAGTAATTGTTCTCCAGTGTAGAGCTCTACCTGTCCTGGGTGACAGAAAAACTTGTGTTCCTTCCTCTGTCTTCTTAACAGTGATGGGAACACTAATTCCTCATGTATTGAGGATTACTACATTTCTGTTTTAATTTTTCAACACAGTCTTCACAATAAAATACAAATTTTAATTGAATACCTGTTGTTTGATAATATGGGGCACCATAAAGTAGTTATATTTTAGGATTCTTGCCTTTCAAGGAGATTATAACCCCTATAAGGGAGTCTCATTTGCTATAAATCATACATGAATTTAAAAATAATATACAATACAAAATATGTCACATGAGAGTGTATGGCTTAGTTTTTAACTGAGATATATGGAAACTTGTCTAGCACTTATTTCTTCACTCACGTGAAATTTTTTATCATGTATACTTGTCTCTGTTTTTTTTTTTTTTTTTTTAAGACAAGAGTCTTGCTCTGTCGTCCAGGCTGGATGTGGTGGTGTGATCTTGGCTCACTGCAACCTCTGTCTCCTGGGTTCAAGCGATTCTCCTGTCTCAGCCTCCCGAGTAGCTGGGATTTCAGATGTGTACCACCACACACAGCTAGTTTTTGTGTTTTTAGTAGAGACGGGGTTTCACCATGTTGGCCAGGCTGGTCTTGAACTCCTGACCTCAGGTAATCCGCCTGCCTCAGCCTCCCAAAGTTCTGGGATTACAGGCGTGAGCCACTGCGCCTGGCTACTTGTCTCTGTTTTTACATGTATCCTTCGCTTCCAGATTGTAAATTATAGTAGATGGAGACTTGTACCACAGTGCTTTCATAATGCTCTACCCACAGTATACATACATAAGTTTGTTACCGATGATACTAGGAGCCTAGTATGATCTGGGTAGGCTTTCTAGAGGAAGTGGATTTGAATTCAATTTGTGGGCTTTGGAATGTTGCTTATGGCATAGTCCCATGGAACATGATAAAAGCGTTTTTAGTTAATAAAATAGGTTTGGTGTACCATCTAGAACATGAAGCCTCCTTGGTTACTGTGGCTTTGGCCCTAAAGTGTCCCACATCGATTTTTCTTATAGACTATTGGCTAAAAGTAGTCATAGGATACTACTTAAGGGGCTAGGAAGTGTGGGTAAGAACATGAATATTTGGTGAGGAGTAAATGATTTTGCCTTACTATAGCAGAATTGATTTTCTTTAGTGGTGAATACCAAAATTGGTAGACCCTGCTTGGAGTTATTGAAGAAAAGAAGAATTGCTTTTATGTGTCAACCTAAATGGAATTTTTATTATTAAATTTATTTGTGAAAAGAACTTACAAGCACTGAATGGTAGCCTTTGGGACAATTAAAGGAGAAACTTTACTAGTGTGTCTATTTTAGGGGTAAGTATTATGAATTGTTTTAGTTTGCTACCATCTTTAGAATGGATATTTGAAACAGAAAGTGAATATTTGGCTTCAGTATACCTGATCCAGGACTTTCCTACATATATGGTTTAACTGGTAAGATTTCAGGTAAGAAAAGTGAGAGAGGGAGTAAAGGGCTTAGATACTTTTGGAGACTTTTGCTGTCTGAGAAGTTCACAAAATTTCTCTAGTATCCTTGGAGGTCATTTTCCCCCTGTTATCAACATATTGCTAATTAATTAAAACCTGTTTTCTCCATTTTTTGTTTGCCTTTCTAATGCTTGGTTTGTTAAGGACTATTGGGTGGTGGTTAAAATAGTTGGCCAACTATTGGTGTTGGCCAAGTTTGCAGAACTACTAGGAAGCTTAGATCCTTACTTGTCCATGAGGCTTGTTTTTTCCCTGTTTTATTCCTAAAGTCATCAATCCTGAACTTTTTAAACCTTAGACTTTCTGACTGTATTCCAATATTTTTTTCTTTTTTCTTTTTTTTTTTTGAGACGGAGTTTTGCCCTTGTTGCTGAGGCTGGAGTGCAATGGGGCAATCTCGGCTCACCGCAACCTCCGCCTCCTGGGTTCAAGCGATTCTTCTGCCTCAGCCTCCCAAGTAGTACAGGCATGTGCCACCATGCCTGGTTCATTTTGTATTTTTAGTAGAGACGGGGTTTCTCCCTGTTGGTCAGGCTGGTCTTGAACTCTCAACCTCAGGTGATCCACCTGCCTCGGTCTCCCGAAGTGCTGGGATTACAAGTGTGAGCCACTGTGCTTGGCTATTTTTTCCTTTTTAAAATTAAATAATGAACCATATAAAATACATGATGACATTTTAATAACAAATTCAAAGAAATGGAAGTATATAGAGTTAAAAAGTGAAAGTCTCTGTCTTGAAGACTTTTTTTTATGGTAGCTGTTAATTTAGGCTGTGTAGTAAACACCCCTCCCCCCATTCTTTTTAATTTTTTTAGGTCATAGCATCCTTCCCTTTGGCCCAAGGGATGGGCATGTGACTCAGGCTTGGTCTGTCATAACACTTCATTCTCTTGGACACAGTGGTTGCTGCCGGATGGCCGTGTGATGACCTGAGCAGGTTGAGTCCTTCCTTGAGATTGAAAAACATATTGGATGAAGGACAGGTTCATCCCATTGGAGTTGCTAAGCCGAGTTAACGTAGAGAGTGCCTTGAAGGAAGCCCATCTGCCATAGGAAAGAATGAGGCCAACATACAGAGTAAAGCAGAGCTGGCGGAGACAGATAGACAGACTCACTCACACACACACTCACTCTCACATGCTTGAATGAGTGAGCATTGGGAGCCATTGGAGCCTTTGGATCTAGTTGCACTCTGTATTAGATCCACCCAATATTTCCCAGTTAAATGAACTCATCAGTTGCCCAATTTGCTTGTGCTGGTTTGCAAGTGTTCCTGTTGTTTGTAACTGAAAGAGTCCTTGCTAATCCAGACCCCTGTTGGCATCATCATCATCATCATCATTAGAATCTATGTAGTAAATTTTTTTCCAGGTCTCGGTACCAGGAAAAGCTGTGTTTCCTTTGACCAGCTGGTTTGCTTGTATTATGTAGTCATCATGACTTTTGAAACTGATAGTTATTTCTCTCTTTGGCTAAAGATTTAGTTAGCTGGGGGTACATGTCTCAGTTGGATGCTCTATAGCTGCTTTATTCAGGTGATTTAATGGCTGAGCTGAATGCTGGGAAACTCTTGCTTTGAGGACTTTTGGGGTCAAAATCATTGTGATGACATTGAAGGCTATAGAACTTTGGGACTCAATTGACTGTCCATTGGTGCAGATTCAGAATCATTTTCAGAGGAAAATTTTGGCTCGTTACTTTCTTGGCTCACTTCCGTGGAGAGGTGGGTTGGCAGCCTACTTAGACATCTTTAGTGGTTAGGTTCCTTAATTATCATAAGAGAATACTCACCTGATTGCATTTGATTATGAAATATATATAGTACCTATAATTGGCAGTATGGCATAGCTTCACTCTAGCAAGTATGTATCCACATACTCTGCTGCCTGATTTTTATTAAAAAAACCTAGAAACAGCATTTTTTGAGAATTGCTTAAATAAAACACTTTCAATCCATTGCTTTAGAAAGAATCAGTTTTTACTTGGACCAGGCCAGAATACCAGAGAGTATGTTGATTGCATTGTTTTAGACTGGGATAGAATTGCTTTTACAGAATTGTTCTTTGGTGTAATGCAATAAACATTTATTAAGAGCTATTAAAACAAACAGCTTTATGAAATTTAGCACTTCTCTTGTAGAATTCTTGTGAGGGTATTATCTCCTTTATCTCAGTGTCCTTGTTGATGTTGTTACTACTATTACAGTAGTACTGTTACTATTAGCGGCTCATCTGGAGGACGAAGACTGAACATAAAATGAGCTAATATATGATGGGCAAATACTGTCTTTAGCTGGAAGCAAATGCTTATATCCAAAGGGAGACAGCTTTATGGATGAGGGGCTGTGTTAGGAGTATGGGCTCTGGAGCCAGATTTCCTAAGCTTGAATTCTGGCTCTCTCTGCTACTGCCTAGTTGTTGTGTTACTTAACCTCTTGGTGCCTCAGCCTTTTCATCGTTAAATAGGGATGATAGTACCTGTCTCCACAAGGTGGTTGTGAGAATTTTGTGAGTTTACACATACAAAATGCTGAGGTCATGCCAGGTCCAGAACATATACAGTGAAGGTGAGCTGCTGGGTTTTTTTTTTTTTTTTTTTTAATGTTTAAAATAAATAGTACATACTTATGGGGTGCCTATGATATTTTGATACATGCATACAATGTATAATTATCAAATCAGGATATTTAGGATATCCATTACCTCAAACATTTATCATTTCTTTGTGTTGGAAACATTTCAGATCTATTGTTTTTTATCATCTTCATCATCATCATTAGAATCTATGGTAGTAATTTTTTCTCCACGTCTCGGTACCAGGAAAAGCTGTTTCCTTTGACCAGCTGGTTCACTTGTATTACGTGGTCATCATGACTTGTAACTGATTGTTATTTCTCTCTTAGGAAGGGAACTCAAAGTCAAATGTGTGTTCCTTCTCTTATAACTGTATAGGACCTTGTAGCATATGGTTTGTGTGGTAAACTTACCTCTGACTTTATCTTATTTTCCTTTTCATTTTCTCTATGCCCAATTTCTTCTTTCTTTTTAATTCTAATACACCCTGTGAACGGTCTCAAATCCTTTTTGAAGTAATATGGAAACAAACAAGTAATTTCATTATAGCATGTGCTCATATTGAAATTTCAGATTAATTTTCATTTAATTTACCTTAAGCTAGCTACTTCCTCATGACAAGGAGGAGCTATAATTTTTATTAAGATATCTCAAATCATATCATAGTTGGGTTACTTCTGGGAAGGTTCCATTTGACAGCTAATCCTATTGATGGTGTTAGCTTTCTTTTAAGCTTTAATTAAAAAGAAAATTGTGAAAATTTCATTTCATAGTTATGACTTTTATTCTCATTTTTTTCTTTGACTTTTGCTCCAGCCATCTCTCGTGGATTTGGGAAGGAAAAGGGGGGCTTATTTAAAAAACTTGTGAACCTATAGTCTTAAGAATAGTCTTCAGAATAAGACTTTTATATTAGGTTATAGCATAGGCAGAGTAAAGTCTATATATGTTGTTGTTGCCTTTCTTTTACAAACCAGAACATTCATTAATTTATTTGCAATGACAAAAAAAAAGGAATGTCCCAAAGTCTAGAATATTCCTGAATATTCTGGTTATGTCATTAGCATAATCACTTCCCCAAGCAGATGTACATGGGGCTGATACTGTCTTTTTTGGGGGGAGAATTCAAAAAAATTTTAATGAATGAAATGTCTCAAGTCTTTTTTAAAATTTGTAGATTCCCTCTTCCCCCCATCCCCTTTTTTTTCTTTGTAATTTATCTTTTGAAGAACCTGTGTGGTTGTCCTGTAGAATTTCCTACAGTCTGGATTGCAGTTTGGTTAAACATGTTGCTCTGCCCTCTCTATATCCTGTAAATTGACAGTTTGATGTAGAAGCTTGATTAAGATGTTATTTTTTTGGTGGGGGGAGGACAAGACAACTTTATAGATAGTATTGTGAGACACACAAAATCTCTGGTTATCTTTTGTGATGTTAGCAGTTGTTGGTATCACTATTGGCTTTTGCTTCTTAAAATCCTAAAGTGATCACCATGTTGTCTAGAAGAAAATGGGGAGGCATTGTCTGGAAATGATAGAGTCTGCTTTGTACAAATAGGACTCCTGGTGTGACCACTTGAGAATGAAGCAATATTGTGTGGAATCAAGAAGATCTAGGTATCAGTCTTGGCTCCTCTGTGTAGGAGCTGTTTGATCTTGCGTAATCAACAAAATCAGCAACAATGACAGCAGCAGCTACATTCACTTAGTGCTTGTTTTGTACCAGATTATGTGCTAAGTGCTTTATATACATTGTGTAATCTAATCTTTATAACAATCCTGTAAGCCAGACATTATCATATTTATTTTTGCAGTTCAGAAATATTAAAGTGTCCAAGGCCACATTGCTAAGAAATAGTGAAACAGGGAGTTCAAGCCCTTGCTTGACTCCAGTCTTGTGCTCATAATCACTTTGTTCTTCTATATCTGTAAAAGTGGGTATACAAATAGCTGCCTTATCTACTTTGGGGGTCAATTAGATGTTGTTTGTGAAAATGCCTTGAAAAATAAGATAGATATTAAAGTGAGAAGTACGCTGGGATGACCATTCATGAGGAAAGGTGGATGGTGGAGGCTTTGCCTATAACTAAGTGACAGTGAAAAGTTTGGATGGAAAGAACCCTGTGGTCATTTTCTGACTTTCATTTCTATTACTATTGCTGTTGAAATGTGGAAGTGTTTTCTTCTCTTGTTAAAATTGAGAGTGATAGAGATTTTACAGGTGGTAAATGTTGCATGTCAGAGGTTGCTTGAGAGTCCCTGGGTGAACAATGATGTCTTGGTTTTACTCCATTTGCCATATATGTAGGCTTAGTACAGATGGGTTTAACAGAGAGAAAGAGTATAGTCACAGTTCAGATTCTTTTTTCTAAAAGGACAAATATTTGTTAAAAGTAGGAGAAATTATAATTGAATGTATAATATTTTATCTCTTTAGCTGGGTAGTGGGTATATAATGTATATTAAAATTATTTTCAGTACCTCTTTATTTGTCTGAACTATTTTATAATGAATAAAACTATTAAAGTACTTACCACTAATATTTGCATGTGTGACAGACTAAGAAAGAAATAGGAGTGAGGTTGGTACCTTTAGGTCTGCCTGCCTGGGGCAGAGTGTAGGACTGTGCACTTTTTTTGAGACGGAGTTTCACTCTTGTCACCCAGGCTGGAGTGCAATGGCATGATCTTGGCTCACTGCAACCTACGCCACCCGGGTTCAAGTGATTCTCCTGCCTCAGCCTCCCCAGTAGCTGGGATTACAGGCATCTGCCACCACACCCAGTTAAGTTTTTGTAATTTTAGTAGAGATGGGGTTTCACCATGTTGGCCAGGCAGATCTCAAACTCCTGACTTTAAGTGATCCGCCTTGGCCTCCCAAAGTGCTGGGATTACAGGTGTGAGCCACCACGCCCGGCTGCACTTTTTTTCTTAAAGGAGACGGGGTCTTGCTCTGTTGCCCAGATGGGAGTGAAGTGGCATGATCATAGCTGACTGCAGCCTCAAACTCCTGGGCTCAAGTGACCCATCTTGGCCTCCCAAGTAACTGGGACTACAGGCATGCACTACCTGGCCTAGCTAATTTTTAAATTTTTTGTTAAGATGGGTTCTCCCTGTGTTGCCCAGGCTGGTTTTGAACTCCTGGCTTCAAGTGATCCTCCTGCCTCAGCCTCTTCGTAATCCCAGACTGTTGGGATTACAGGCGTGAGCCACTGTCTCTGGTAGTGCACTATATTTTCGGTAAACTTTGGTAATGCGTTTATCAGAAAGCCTTAGGGCTTGACCTGGACACATTTTCTTGGTACTTTGCTTCTTGCAGTTCTTTTTGTACTCTGGGGACTTTATTGCCATATTCTCTTTACTGTGGTGAAATATCTAGTATTTCATTCTGGTATTCCCAACAAAGTTTTCCCATTTTCTTGAGATATAAATCATATTCCATAAGTCACCCTGTTAAAGTGTACAATTTGGCAGCTTTTAGTATATTCACAAAGTTGTACAACCATCACCATTGTGTAATATCAAACTTTTGTTTCCTCAGAAAGAAATTCCGTGCCTGTTAGCAGTGTCTCCCCATTCCTCCCTTCCTCAGCCACAGGCACCCACTAATCTATTTGCTGTCTCTATGGATTTGCCTATTTTGTACATTTCATGTAAGTGAAATCATACAATATTTCACCTTTTGTCTGACTTCTTTCACTTAGTGTAATGTTTTTGAGGTTCATCCATGTTGTAGCATGTATCAGTACTTGATTCCTTTTTATGGCCAAATAATGTCCCACTGTAATCCATTTTGACTACTATGAATAATGCTTCTCTGAACTTTCATGTACAAGTTTTTGCATGGACATATGTTTTCATTTGTCTTGAGTATATGAATTGCGGGGTCATATGATAATTGTGTTTAACATTGTGAGAACGGCAAAACTGTTTTACAAAGTGGCTGCACCATTTTACATTCCCAGCAGCAGTGTATGAGGGTTCTGATTTCTCCACATTCTCCAGTGAAGTGGCATCTCACTATAATTGTTGATTTGCATTTCCCTAATGACTATGTTGAATAGTTTTGCATATGCTTTTTGGCCATTTGTACATTTTCCTTGAAGAAATGTCTCTTCAGATCTTTTGCTTATTTTAAAATTGTGTTGTCTTTTGTACTGAATTGTAAGAATTCTTTATATATTCTGGATGCAAGTCCTTTATCAGATATATGATTTGCAAATATATTCTCCCATCCTGTAGTTTGTCTTTTTACTTTCTTGGTGGTTATTCTTTGAGGGACAAACATTTCTAATTTTGATAAGTCCAATTTATTGATTTTGTTCCTTCTTATGCTTTTGGTGCCATATTGAAGAAACCATTGTCTAATCCAAGGTCACAAAAATTTATGTCTTTTTTTTCTAAGAGTTTTAGTGCTTACATTTAGGTCTGATATATTTTTAGTTAATTTTTCTATATGGTATGAGTTAGATCCCAATTTTTTTTTACAGTGGGGACAAAAGCTCATTATATTCCAAATACATACATCAGTAGCACTTTCAGTTTCCACCTTGCTTGATAATATTTTAATCACTATATGATTCTGCCACTTCATTTGTTTCACCCTCGACTCCCTGCTAAGTATTTGCTGTACCGAAACTGTACTAACTTTTGCACTTATCGTAGAATGTGAAAGTTAGGAGGATGTTTATTGATTATGCAGTTGAATCTCTTAGAGTAGAGCCCTCTGCATCTGTGACAGAAGAGCTTTCAACTGTTTGAACAGTTTTAGAGGTGGTTAGTTCACTGAAGTGTGTTGTACTATAATACAATAGTTATATTAAGAAGTCTTACCTATTCAAACATCATTTTATAAATAAAAAAAGTTTCAGAAGGAACAGGGGTTTAGGAGCTCAATAGGTTTAATAAGTTATTTTGCTTTTAGCAGTTTAAATTAAAGAGAGTTGGTGATTGGATCAAAACCCACAGTGTTTTATAATTAAATGAGAGCATTATATCCACCGGTGCAGTAGGAGAAATGCTTGTATTCCTAAAGCAATTCAGTTCAGTTTTTAAAAGCTCTAATGGCTAGAAAGTTTATTCTTTTTTTCAGTTGGAATGTTGCCCTTGGTAATGACTACCCATTTTATCAAGGTCCTCTTAAAACTCAGAGTCTAAAATTAAACTTCACTTATGTGCAGAGTGGTGCAGCGTGGTACAGAGTGTAATTGACTGATAGTTTTTTTGTTTTTCCTTTTCATATAACCCAGAATTAAGCTGTTAATGGAAGCCATGCTATCTTTGGGGCTCATCTTGAGTTTGTTATCAGTGAAACCCCTCTCTAACAAGAGTTTCTAAGTGCATCTCCTGTTCCTTTGAAACACTACAGTTGTGAAATGTGCTTTGCACCTATAGATCTGGACTCATCTCTGACTGCTTGGCTGCGTAACCTTAGCCAAAACACCGTTTCTTTGATCTCAACTCGCTTTTCTGTTGAATGGAGTTAATTCCTCCATTTTTGCAGTATTGGATGATTAAATGAAATGATTTGTGTGTGTGGGTGCATATGGCTCTACCACACACAGATGAAAGTAAGGCTTGCGAAAACAGCCTTCTGTCACAAGTACTTCTTTGCTGGCCTTACTTAGTCAGATATTAGCTATTTGTTAGCATCCGTCCAGTTCAGATGTCTTGATATCCTGAATTGATAGGAAATATTTCAAACATGCAGAAAAGAATAGTGGAAAAATCATTCCGTGCACCTTCTGCCCAACTTAGATCTTAACATTTTGCCTTATTTCAGATTTTTTAAAAAAGAAGTAAAACATTGTGGAGTTCAGCCTTCTCTGTACCCTCTTTCTTTTACCCCTTCCACATTCCCCAGAGGAAACATTGTTCTGAATATATTTGTTATCTATATATAATGTAATTGTTTTGCATGTTTTAAACCTCAGATACATACTATACTGCAATATGCTCTTGCAGTACCCTTTTTTTTTCTCATCCTTTTTTTCCTGCAATTTCTATTTCATGGCTACATCACAATTTACTTACTCACGCTCCTCTGGGTGGTTATTAGGTAATTTCCATGTTTTATTATTAGACAATGCTGTAGTCAACATTCCTGAACATACTGGTTGTGAACATATGTGCATTTCTATAGAGAGCTTGTAAGGAAAATGTGTGTGTGTGTGTGCGTGCACACGTGTACATATGTGCTTGCGTATAGGATTGGAATCTGGTTGAAAAGTATATGCATCTTCAACTTTGGAGAATAATTTGACATTATTTAATAAAATATACCAATTTAAACATTACTGTCAGAGTGTGAGAGTTTTACATTCCTCAAACATTTCTAGTGTTTCATTTCTTAGCATTATCTAAAATGGGATTCATAAGGTTCTAGATGGTTAGCAGCTGTTAGGGTCAGCAATTTCTCCGGCCAACTGTAGGAGGACTTGGTATGTGTAGAAAACATTTATTCTAGCAAATGAACAGGCTTCTGATACTGTGTGGCTCAGGATCTATGACTAACTTATTCTGGTATAAAGCCACCCAGAATTCATTTGACCAGTTTACTTAAAAACTAGCAAATTTTTAGGCCAGGTGCGGTGGCTCATGCCTGTAATCTCAGCACTTTGGGAGGCCGAGGCAGGCGGATCACGAGGTCAGGAGATCGAGACCATCCTGGCTAACACTGTGAAACCCTGTCTCTACTAAAAATACAAAAAATTAGCCGGGTGTGGTGGCACACACCTGTAGTCCCAGCTACTCGGGAGGCTGAGGTGGGAGAATCTTGAACCCGGGAGGTGGAGGTTGCAGTGAGCTGAGATCACGCCACTGCACTCCAGCCTGGGCAACAGAGTGAGACTCTGTCTCAAAAAAAAAAAAAAAAAAAAAGGAAAAAAACAAAAAGAAAAAAAGAAAAATAGCAAAATTTTTTTATCTCTGAGTCACATAAGCATTGGTAATAGTCTTCATTACCTATATATTACTCGATTAAGCTCTATGTGAGCAAGTAAAGTGAGTATCTGGCAATTGTGACTTAAAATAAATATTATTAAGAGATTAATAAAATAAGCATAGGATAATCTGTAATAAAATGTGAATATAGGACCAGGTGTGGTAGCTCACAACCGTAATCTTAGCACTTTGGGAGACTGAGGCAGGCGGACCACTTGAGCCCAGGGGTTTGAGACCAGCCTGGGCAACATGGGGAAACTCCATATCTACAAAAATACGAAAACTAGCCGATTGTGTTGGTGTGCCTCTGAGGTGGGAGGATCGCTTAAGCTTGGGAGGTCGAGACTGCAGTGAGTGGTGATTGTGCCACTGTGCTCCAGCCTGGGTGACAGGGCAGAGTGTCTCAAAAAAAACAAGAAAAAAAAGTAAACGTATAAATAGATAAATTTATATGGCTTAAGATTTTGATGTTAAAGACATCTAGGATAATTTAATGCAAAGTAAATATTAAGTGTAGTATAATGAATGTTAGGTGAATATGCAGAATTAATAAAGTTACATTAGTTATCCATAGCTTAAAGACAGAGATGGTACGGATTCATTGGATTAAGAAGCAAGTGTGTGAGCCAGAAGAGTGCTTATCAATCTGTGACCTTTGCTTGGACTCCAGGCATTGGAATAAGTTACCAAAGTTGTTTAATCTAATTTAGCATTGAGAAAGAACTTATCTAAAAAAGATTATTTTTGTTTTCAAAAATTTTTTGTTAAAAACATGTTTTGTATGGCGTTCCTAAATTACTAAAGGTGCATTTAGGAACAACTTATTTTGGGGTCATTTATTTTGGCACCCTTTTATTTATTTTCATTTTTATTATTTTTTTGAGACAGGGTCTGGGTCTGTTACCCAGGCTGGAGTGCAGTGGCGCGATCATGGCTCACTGCAACCTCCGCCTACCAGGCTCAAGCAGTCCTCCCATCTCAGCCTCCCAAGTAGCTGGGACTACAGGTTCACACTACCATGCCCAGCTAATATTTTAAAACTTTTTTTTAGAGATGGGTTCTCACTATGTTGCCCAGGCTGGTCTCAAAACTCTTGGGCTCAAGCAGTCCTCCTGCCACGGCCTCCTAGAGTTCTGGGTATTACAGATGTGAGTCACTGTGCCCGGCCTTTGGCAACCTTTTAATAATTTATCTCTACTTTTGGCATTTTGAGTGATTAAGAGTGATTCATGTTATATTACTTGGAGGAAGGCTGTCTTGTTTTCTTGCTTGCTTATTTGCATTATTGAATTATTGGTCCAAAGTTATGAAAAGAATATTGGAACATTATGGAAACTAGGGGGAAATGTTAAAAAGTAGGAGGGAGAAAAAACCTGTAGAGCAAGTAAAGTAAGCAATGACTACCTATACGTAATACTATCCCTAAACAAAAGCTATTAATTTGGTGGGCTTCTGAAAGTTAGTCTAGATTTATAACTTTATTCAGTTTTTTTCCTAAAGCTAGTCTATAATTTATAGAACCAGGAGTTAAAAACAAAACAAACAAAAAACAGAAGCCCTCAGTGAAGCTCCTTCAAGAAAGAAGTTATTCTTTTAGTTCTACTTCTGCTCTTTGTTAGTGCCTCAGAAGCTCTTACTAAGGAAGAGCCTTAGCTCAGTCAGCAGGCAGTCACTCTGGTGGCTTGACTCCTGTATGCTAGCTGCTTGGTAGGCTGAATAGACTGAGCCTTGCTCTGCATGTTATAAAGGCACAAGTGACATGGACCCTGACCTATGAAATAATTTTTTTCTCTTTATGAATATAAATAGGTTTTGCCTTTTTTTTTTTTTTTTTTTTTTTTGAGACGGAGCCTCGCTCTGTCGCCCAGGCTGGAGTGCAGTGGCACGATCTCGGCCCACTGCAAGCTCCGCCTCCCAGGTTCACACCATTCTCCTGCCTCAGCCTCCCGAGTAGCTGGGACTACAGGCGCCCGCTACCACGCCTGGCTAATTTTTTGTATTTTTAGTAGAGACGGGGTTTCACCATGTTAGCCAGGATGGTCTCGATCTCCTGATCTCATGATCTGCTAGCCTCGGCCTCCCAAAGTGCTGGGATTACAGGCATGAGCCACCGTGCCCGGCCCGCCTTTTTTTTTTAATTGAGGGGAGGAGCAAAGATAAAAGTTCATTACATTGTGTCATTACGCAGTGACATTATGTCACTGCTGTTAACTGATCCAAGCTAATGGCCACACTAATGAAATGTCAATGAATATATTAATACAGATTAAGAATTTTTTTAACTTGGTTTAATCCCCCTTCAATTCTCAGTCTGATACCTGACCCTTTTCTCTCCTCTCCCATGTATTAGTATCATCTTTCTCACTTTCTCTCTTATACCTCTGTTACTCCCATTGCTGTGAAGTTGCCTCTCTGGCCTTCATTCCAATGTACTTTCCTATTTCTATCCAGCTTTCTTTTTTTTTTTTTTTCATTTTAAAAATATATCTTTATATACCAGTGTTTTTTCCTGTGCTCCCCCTTCAACCACATATATATGTGCATGTGTGTGTGCGCGCGTGTGTATATATATACGTATATATACAAGTATATATACGTATATATACACATATACGTATATATATACACACGCGCGCACACACACACACACACACACACACCCCATTTTGTTTAGACTACCCAGTATTTTACTGTATCTTGAATTTGAATGCTTTAAGGCTAGTGCATAATCTCTTCCGTTAGGTCTAGGCCCCATGTTTTCCTATTGGTTTAAAGTTGCCCCATTTACACACTTATTTTTTATTTATTTATTGATTTTGATTACTTTGGTTCTTGTAGAGAATTGAGTTTGTATTTTTTATACTATATTTTCTGCTGTGAGTGTCTTCCTTTTTTTCCTTCAGTTTCTCTCTCCTTCCGTTCTGTGTGGAATCTCTTCTGCTTGTCACTGCTGTTCTGTTTGCACACCACCACCCTTTTCCAAGACCCAGTGTGTACCGACTTTCTCCTCTGAGCAAGTGCATTTCATTTGTACCTGGAGTACACATTGCATTTTCTCACAGCCAGGCCCTTCTTGGATTTCCCTTATCTGGAGCTGAGGTTTCTCTCTCAGGGTTTATGTCTGCGAGAACCGTTTCACACTGACAGGGTGTTGTTGCCACTGTGAGATTTCCTTTCACAGAAACTAGAAGGCTAATTTACCTAGCAAGCGTGTCTTTAACATACAGGTATTTATTTATCTGGCTCAAACAATTAGAACTAGAATATTGGAAACAAGGTTGTTCTTAGGAAGATTTTACTCAAAGCCACCAGAGCACACATGTGAAGTGCTTATCATTGAACGTAGTTGTTGCTAGCTTTTTCATTTTAAAATTGTTTTATCTTTGTATTAGGGCACAGGATGGTAGAGATAGTATGGTTGGGTGTTTCTAGTGAAAATTATGGTAATTTGCTAGGATTTACAACTAGGAAGGGAATTATTTAGAATTTTAGTTAGTGAAATGATAATATAGTAATAGCATCAGAATTTTGGAATGTGCCTCATGATTTCACTATGCTCTTTTAATTTTTACATAGTTCCTTCTGGTAGTTGTCTACAAGTGTATGTATTTTGTGTAGATATTCTTACTATGTGTTTTTGTTC
The DNA here is from genome assembly GCF_000001405.40 of Homo sapiens. NCBI lineage: Eukaryota > Metazoa > Chordata > Mammalia > Primates > Hominidae > Homo > Homo sapiens. Next base: position 24,518,013 of record NC_000002.12, read on the forward strand.
TTGTATTCTGTTTCTCATTTAACATAACTAGTAATAACAACCATTTATTGAGTGAACATATATTTTAAAAGTCCTAACAAAATTTTAGCAAGTCAAATCCAATAATATATAAAAAGTATAATACATTATGATTGGGGTTACCTTGGGAATGCAAGATTGGTTTAACGTTAAAAAATTAATGAACGTATTTTACCATGTTAACAGACTAAAAAGGAAAAAAATATGAACATCTCAATAAATGCAGAAAAAGCATTTGATAAAAATTCAGCAAATTAGAAATAGAGATAAGAATTCTCAGCAAATTAGAAAAAAGAGGGCTTCCTTAACCTGATAAATGGAGCATATTTATGAAAAACCTACGGTTTAACATTATACTTAATGACGAAAGACTAAATGCATTCCCTCCATAAACACAGACAAGGGAAGTATATCTCTTCTTACCACTTTTCTTCCACATTATACTGGAGGTTCTAATCTGTATGATGAAGTAAAAAAAAAAGAAATAAAAGGCATCCAGATTGGCAAGGAAGAAGTAACTTTTTATTTGCAGATGACATTGATTATCTACGGATAGATTCTACAAAAAAGCTACTAGAAGTAATATGTGAGTTGAACAAGGTAGGATAGAAGATCAATATGTAGACATGAATTGTATTTTTGTATATTGGCAATGAACATTTGGAACTTGAAATAAAAATTAATGCCATGTATAAAAACATCGAGCACTATGAAGTACTTAGAGATAAATCTAAAAAAAGATGTTTAAGACTTGTACACTGAAAATTATAAAGTGTTCCCGAGAGAAATTAAGATAACCTAAGCAAATGGAGAGAGATACTGTGTTTATGCAGCAGAAGACTAAATACTAAGATGTTACCTTCCCCCAAGTGTTCTGTGTGTACTATGCAATCCCAGTCAAAATCCTAGCAGGAATTTTTTGGTACTAGTTGACAAGCTGATTCTAAAATTCATATAGAAATACAGAGGACCTAGAACAGCCAAAACAACTTTGAAAAAGAAGAAAAAAGTTGTAAGACTTACACTACTTATCTTCAAGTCTTATTATAAAACTATAGTAATCACAATAGGGTGGTATGGGTTTCAAGACAGACAAGTAGATTGATGGAACAGAATAGAAAGTCTGGAATAGATTCATTCACATATGTGATAAACAAAATGTATATGTATACAATGAAATATTATAATTCAATCATAAAAAGGAATGAAATACTGATACGTGCTACAACATGGATGAACCTTTAAAACATTAGGCTAATTGAAAAAAGCCAGTCACAAAAGATCACTATAGAGTGGTCTCTATAGAAATAGAAGATAGGTTAGTTGGTTGCTTAGGGCTAGGCTGGAAGGACTGGGGGACAGGGTTTCTTTTGGGATGATGAATATGTTCTAAAATTGACTATGGTGATGGTTACATGTATCTTTGAATATACCAAAAATCATTGAGTTGTACAAGTTTTTGTATGGTATATGACTTATCTCACTGTAACTATTAAAAAGAAAACACGGTTGGGCATGGTAGCTCACATCTGTAATCCCAGCACTTTGGGATGCTGAGGCTGGAGGATCGTTTGAGGCCAAGAGTTTGAGAACAGCCTGGGCAGCAAAGGCCCTGTCTCTACAAAAAAAAAAAAAAAAAAATTAGCTGGGTTAGGTGGTGCATGCCTAATTACTAGTAGGCATAGTCTCGGGAGGCTGAGATGGGAGGATTGTTTGTGCCCAGAAGTTGGAGGCTGCAGTGAGCTATGATGCCCCCAAAACAGAAAATTTAGTAGCAGTATTTTTTGAAAAGTATGAAAGAACAAGCCATGTGTTGAGAAAAAAATATTTGTAATTCATTTATAAAGGATTTAATTCCAGAATATATAGAGTTATCAAAGCTCAATATTAAGGAAACATAAAACCTAATTCAAAAGTGAGGAAAGTACCTGTACAGAGAGTTTACTAACAGATACACAGATGATGGATGAACACATCAAAAGATAATAAACATAATTAATCATTACAGAAGTGTGGATAAAATCCATAATGAGAGATCACTAACACCTTTTAAAATGGCTAACATTAAAAGGACTGACTGTACTAAGTGTTGGCAACTGGAACGCTCACATTATGGTGGGAATGTAAAACCATACACTACTTTGGAAAATAGCTTGACAATTTTTTTTTAAAGTTAAACATATACTTAACATGTGACCCAGCCATTCTACTCTTAAGCAATTTACTTAAGATAAATGAAAGCATATGTCCATATACATTTTGAACATGAGTTTTTATTATAGCAATGTTATTTTTAATACTCCCAAATTAGAAACAATCCAAACGTCCTTAATAGGTAAATGGATAGATGTGGTATATCCATTAAATGGAATAGTACTCATCAATAAAAATGAAATAACCATATGCCCAACAACTTGAATGAATATCAAAATAATTATTTTGAGTTAAAGCTGCCAACCAAAAAAGAGTGCATTCTGTATGATTCCATTTGTTAAAATCCAGGAACATGCATCTTAATCAATAGTGAAAGAGTGCAGTTCAGTGCTTGTCTGCAGATTGTGTTGAGCACAGGGAAGTGTGGGAATGAGGGATCATAAGATGCACAAGGAAACTTATGAGAGTGATGGATATTGCATTATCTGGATTGTGGTGATGGTTTTATTGGTGTATACATGTGTCAAAATTTATAAAACTAAATTTTAAACACATGCAGCTGATTATGTGTTCATTATGCCTCAAAGCTGTTATAAGTATAACAAAATAAAATGAAAAAGTCTTGTGAATGGGAAAAGGTCAAAGTCTGTGTAGTGTCCTACAAAGCTCTATATGATCTGGCCCTTGTTGTCTTTCTGACCTTCTCTCCTATTGTTCTTTTTCCTTGCTCATTCTTTGCTGTTCCTTGACTATTCCAGGCCGCTTCCTGCCTTAGGAGAATTTGCTTTAGCTTTTTTTTTTTGACCTCCCTGCTTTTGATGTTCTTTTCCCCAGATACTTGCTTCATAACGCTCTCAACTCCTTCAGGTCTTTGCTCACATCTTACCTTGAGTATCAAGGAAGTCTACCTGTTTATTTTTTCTCTCTCTCCAGCTTTATTAGAGTATAATTGATGAATAAAAATGTTACATGCTTATGGTATACAACATGGTATTTTGATATATATATGTGTTGTGAAATGATTAAATTAAGCTGATCAGCATATCGGTCACCTCACATATGTTTTTGTGGTGAGAATTGTCTTAGCAATTTTACAGTGCATTATTATTAGCTATAGTTACCATGCTGTAAAATAGAGCTCCAGAATTTATTCATGTTGTCAAAGTGAAACTTTATAACCTTTGACTAACATCTCCCCATTCCCACCCCTTCCTGTCTTCAGCCTCTGATAACCATCATTCTATTCTCTGCTTCTATGAGTTCAACTTTTTAAGATTCTAAGTATTTAGTGAGATCATGTAATATTTGTCCTCTGTGTCTGGTTTATTTCACTTGGCATAAAGTCCTCCAAGTTCATCCATGTTGTCACAATTTACAGGATTTTCTTCTTTTTAAAGGCCAAATACTATTTCATACACATACCACAGTTTCTTTATCTATTAGTCCATCTTTGGATACTTAGGTTGTTTTTATATTTTGGCTGTTATGAATAATGCTGTAGTCAACATGAGAGTTGGAGATCTCCTTAATATACTGACTTCATTTCCTCTGATGTATACCCAGAAGTAGGATTGCTGGATCATTTGATAACTCTGATTTTAATTTTTTGAGGAACCTCCCTACTATTTTTCATAATGGCTGTACCAATTTACATTCTCACCAACAATGTATAAGGTTTCCCTTTGCTCCACATCCTTGCCAAAACTTGTTATCTTTTTTCTTTTTGGTAATTGCCATTCTGTCAGCTGTGGGACATCCTGTCTAGTATCCTCATCCCCTTCACTCCAATCCCCTTCCTTCCCTATTCTCCCCGCCCCCCATACATAGTACCTTCTAACATAACATATAATTATATATTTTATTGTTTGCCTCTCCCCAATGGAATGTAAGTTCTATGAGGGCAGAATAGAATAGTACCTGGCTTATAGTAGCCTCTCATTACATCTTTGTTGAATGGATGAACTCACAGCTTTTGTAGCATGGACTGACTCATTTTCTCTTAATCACTCACCATAGTATATACCTTCTGTAACATTCATTATTGAGTTTTCATAATGACTTAGTTTTTATAGTGATGATCCAGTAACACTACACCACTTCATCTAGTTGTGGTCTAATTTATTAAACAATTTCTTATCATTTAGTTTATTCCTAAAGAATAGAGTCATTCATTCAGCAAGCATTTAGAAGTCTACAGTGTTCAAGCTTTGTGTGCCAGCCTCATAAAAATGAAGAAAATATGGACCTTGCCCTCAAGGAACTCTCCAACTATAGTAGAGGTAGATATATCAACAATTATTATAATGGTATCTGATAAGGGTACATGTTAGAAGGCATTTTAAAGGTACAAAGAGCGTACACCAGAGTGTACACCAGACGGAGTGCCCAACTGTGAGAGCTGGAGGTTAGGTCCTGATTTAGCAATGGTATAGAAATGGGAGGAGGAAGAACAACTGAGTAAGAGAATGCAGTAATCAAAATGTATGTCAAGGGATGATTTGGGACAGATATTAAAATAGATTGGAAGGGGGCTAAAGATTTTCAACGATGGAAAAGATGAAGTAAAAATTTAATTATTAGCTATAATGTTTTCTAGTAATTCATAATCTAATACAACATTATTATTAGAGGAAGATTCTTGCTTTTAAGGATTTGAAAGAGGTAATACATTTAGATTGCATTTGTCTTAAAGTTTGTAGTACTCATACTCTTAGGAGAAGGGAGGATTGAGTATTGAGAATTATCTTAAACTATAATCAGTGGAAATTATAAGCCAATAATTGTAGAAGTGAGCACTTTTTGAGTGCTTATCTTATATCAGGCATTATTCTAAATATTTTACTTGTTAATTGAAAATAATACGATGTAATTTCACCCTCTTTTATATGTATGGTCAAGTCAATTATCTGTAGGTAGATTATTTGCATTTGGGGTTATCCATGCATTTCAGAAAACATCTTCATGGACTGTGTCCTTCGGTCCTCCCTTGATGTCTTTCTCTCAGTTGTTTTTACTGCCCCGATCAGCTTTTTAAAACAAATAATCATACCTATTTTTAAAAACTGCTAAATAGATTGTTATTATTAGAGTCTCCCTTCTCCCCATACATCATGGGTACCATTGTTAGAAACTGGGCTTTTGGCCGGGAGCAGTGGCTCACGCCTGTAATCCCAGCACTTTGGGAGGCCGAGGCGAGTGGATCACGAGGTCAGGAGATCGAGACCATCCTGGCTAACACGGTGAAACCCCGTCTCTACTAAAAATACAAAAAAATTGCCAGGTGTGGTGGTGGGTGCCTGTAGTTCCAGCTACTCGGGAGGCTGAGGCAGGAGAATGGCGTGAACCCGGGAGATGGAGCTTACAGTGAGCTGAGATTGCGCCACTGTACTCCAGCCTGGGAGACAGAGTGAGACTCCGTCTCAAAAAAAAAAAAAAAAAAAAAAAAAGAAACTGGGCTTTTTGGCCAGCCACGGTGGCTCACGCTTGTAATCCCAGCACTTTCGGAGGCCGAGGTGGGCGGATCATGAGGTCAAGAGATCGAGACCATCCTGGCCAACATGGTCAAACCCCATCTCTACTGAAAATACAAAAATCAGCTGGGCGTGGTGGCGCGTGCCTGTAGTCCCAGCTGCTTGGGAGGCTGAGGCAGGAGAATCGCTTGAACCCAGGAGGTGGAGGGTACAGTGAGCCGAGATCGTGCCACGGCACTCCAGCCTGGCAACAGAGTGGGACTCTGTCTCAAAAAAAAAAAAAAAAAAAAAAAAAAAAAGAAACTGGGCTTTTTAAAGGATTTGAAGACCCAAAATTAGAGGAAGGAGAAAAGTTGTGAAGAAATCCACTTATGGGAGCTGATTTTAGGCAGAGCTTGAACTTTATGACAAATGATAAACTTTGCACAAAAATATCTTCATCCCCATTGTCTGATGATTTTTAAATTTTAGTTTATATTGCCAGAAATTCTGTTTATCAAGCATTAATTTGAGTAGGCAAATACATGTTTTTCAGATACTTCCGGTTAGGCTAAGAGGTTATAATCATTTTTATAAATTGTTCAAATCAGATTGCCTTTCAACTTCTTTTTATTTTACTTACTTTTTTACTTACTTACTTTTTATTTTACTTTGTTTTTTAGACAGGGTCGCACTCTGTCGCCCAGGCTGGTGGAATGCAGTGACAAATCATGGCTCACTGAAGCCTCAACCTCCTGGACTCAACCCTCCCACCTCAGCCTCCTGAGTAGCTGGGACTACAGATGTGTACCACCATGCCTGGCTGCCTTTTAAATTATTTTGTAGAGATGGTGTCCCACTCTGTTGCCCACACTGGTCTTGAACTCCCGGGCTTAAGTGATCCTCATGCCTCGGCCTCCCAAAATGCTAAGATTATGTGAGCCACTGTGCCTGGCCTCCCCTACTTCTTGTATGTATATATATATTTTTTGAGATGGAGTTTCACTATTGTTGCCCAGGCTGGAGTGCAATGGTGCGATCTCAGCTCACTGCAACCTCCACCTCCCGGGTTCAAGTAATTCTCCTGCCTCAGCCTCCTGAGTAGCTGGGATTACACGTACCCACCACAATGCCCAGCTAATTTTTTGGTAATTTTGATAGAGACGGGGTTTCACCATGTTGGCCACGCTGGTCTTGAACTCCCAACCTCAGGTGATCCACCTGCCTTGGCCTCCCAAAGTGCTGGGATTACAGGTGTGAGCCACTGCACCCAGCCTACTTCATATTTTTTGAACTGACAGAGTGGAAACTGTAATTAGAAGGGAGAAATGTAATTTTGGATATCAGAGAACTATGGTAAATTGGGCAGCCAGTGTAGGGCTAGTGCAGGGTACTATGGTGTGGGGAGCCTTAGAGAATCTGAGGGTAGTGAAATTAGGGGAGAGGAGCTTGTGCACAAAAGTGCAATATTGCAAAACACAAATTGTTTCATTAAATTACTAGGGATGGTACTTTAGGCAGTGGCCATTTTAGGGGAAGTAAAGGCATTTTTTCTTCAATTCTGTCATCTAATGACCTCTCACTTACTTGCTCTGAACTCATTCATTCTTCAGTGGAGTCTCATTTTCCAAATTTGGGGGACTAGTGGTGGAGTTAAAGATTAGGTTGAATTTGGAAAAGATAAAAGTGAGTCAAGTTTATGGAAAGATGCATATAAAATGATAATAAATGACTAGCATACAGATAAAATCAAGGATACAGAGAACAAGGGTGGCATATTAAGGATAAGGATTAGGAAAGCAGAATCGGAGATTTGTAAGGAAACTGGTTATTTATTTGATCTCACTTCTACTTGATTATCTTTAGTAATGTGGAAATAGCTACTTCAGGTTGTAGTCTTTATTATGTTAGAAAGTTCTTTTTTTTTTTTTTTGAGACAGTCTTGCTCTGTCACCCAGGCTGGAGGGCAGTGGCGCGATTTTGGCTCACTGCGGCCTCTGCCTCCTGGGTTCATGCAATTCTCCTGCCTCGGCCTTCTGGGTAGCTGGGATTATAGGCATGCGTCACCATGCCTGGCTAATTTTTTTGTATTTTTAGTAGAGATGGGGTTTTGCCACGTTGGCCAGCTAGTCTCAAACTCCTGGCCTCAAGTGATCTGCCCGCCACAGCCTCCCAAAGTGCTGGGATTACAGGCATGAGCCCCCGAGCCCGACCTTATGTTAGAAATTTCTAATAATCATCCTTAGGTCTGCTTCCTTATGTTCTCTTCTTATTGCTCCTAGTTCTGCTCTCTGAAATTGCACAGGACAAGTCTGTGTCCATTTTGGTGTATCAGGCTTAAGATACTTGATGACTGCTTTGATGTCTGTATTTGAAGATCAAATACAGACATCTGTTCTGTCTTCCTATATGCTTCTCTTTTCCAGGCTAAATTTTCCTGGCCTAATTGTTTCTTGGATATCATTGTTTTCAGACTCTTTTGGAAATCCTTATGGATATTCTCTAATTTGTAACTCCTTTAAATTATGATTTCAAAACCTCATGTAATGGGTAAGATGTGGTTCTAGTGGTTCAGATTAGAATGGGTCTGTTTAATCAGTGTGATTACAGTGATCCAAGTTTGCAGTTAGTTTTTTTTTTAATGGCTCTATTCCACATTTTGTTTTCATTAACTACTTTGATCATGTAAACCTATAGGTTAATAAATTTCTCCCCCTTACTGTTCCTCTTTCCTCTCTACCACTTTTTTTCATAATTGGTTTTCATTCTAGAATGGAAAAGAAAATGGTGTAGTAACATGAGCCATGGATTTAGGGGCAGAAATATTTGGGTTCCTCCGTTTATTAGTAAAGTGTCTTTGGACTATTGTCTCGACCTTTTTTAAAAAAAATAGGCTATCATTTTTACTAAGATTGTGGTGAGATTTCCATGAAATAATCTAGGGGAAAGACTTCATACTGTTCTTCATTCTTGTGCTTTACTTATCCTCAATTTTGAAAAATGTTTTTAAAAATAAATTTTATTGGCTGGGTGCAGGCTCATTGCATTGCAGCCTTTGTGACAAGAGCGAGACCCTTTCTCAAAAAAAAAAAATTAATAAATTCTGTTGTATATATTTAAGGTGTACAACATGATGTTATGAGATACATGTAATGTTGGCCCTCTATATCTGTGGGTTTTGCATCCATGGATTTAACCAACCACAGATCAAAAATATTTGGGAAAAAATTTAGTAATACAACAAGATATAATACAGATTAAAAAAATACAGTGTAACAACTATTTACATAGTGTTTACATTTATTAGGTATAAGTAGTCTTGAGGTTATTTCAAGTATATAGGACAATATGCATAGGTTATATGCAAACCATTTTACATAAGGAAGTTGAGCATTCTCATAATTTGGTATCCTGGGGTGGGGTCTGGGAACTAATCCCCCACAGATATGAGGAATGACTATATAGTAAAATAGTTACTATAGTAAGACAAATCAACATATCCATCATCTCACTGTTAACCACTGTTTCCCCATGGTAAGAGCAGCTATCATCTATCTACTCTTTGAGCAAAAATCCTGAGTAAAATATACTATTATTATAGTCCTGATGTTGTACATTAGATCTTTAGACTTTTATATCCTACATATCTGCTACTTTGTATCTTTTGACCAACATCATCCAGTTTCCTACACCAACCCTTGCCTCTGATGACTGTTTTATTCTCTCTCTCTGTACATTTGACTTTTAAAACATTCCATATGTGAGGTCATATAATCTTCTTATTTTTGTGTCTGGCTTATTTTACTTAGCATAATGTCTTCCAGGTTCATCCGTGTTGTGGCAAATGGCAGGATCTCCTTTTTTAAGGCTTACATAATATTCCACTGTGTATATATATGTACACCACAGTTTTTTATTCATTTGTTCATGATTAATGGACGACTAGTTTGTTTCTGTATCTTACCTATTGTGAATAATGCTGCAATGAACATGAGAGTGCAGATATCTTTACAAGGTGGTAATTTAATCTCCTTTGTGTATATAACCAGAAGCAGAATTGCCTGAGTCATGTGGTAATTCCATTTTTAATTTCTTTAGGAACCTCCATAACATTTTCCATAATGGCTGCACTAATCCACATTTCCTACCAACAATGTACAAAGGTTCCCTTTTCTCCATACCGTTGCCAACACTTGTTATCTCTTTCCTTTTTAATAACAGCTATCCTAATTGGTTTAAGGTGATATCTCATAGTGTTTTGATTTGCATTTCCCTTGTGATTAGTGATATAAAACACCTTTTCATATACCTGTTGCCCATTTTTATGTCGTCTTTGGAGAAATGTCTTTTGAGGTCCTTTGCCCATTTTTTAATTGAGTTATATGTTTTCTTGCTATTGAGTTGTATGAGTTCTTTATAAATTTTGGATATTAATGCCTTATCAGATAGCATGGTTTGCAAATATTTCTTCCCAATCCATAAGTTGCCTTTTCATTGTGTTGGCTGTTTTCTTTGCTGTGCAGGAGCTTTTTAGTTTGATATATTTGTTTTTGTTTTTATAGCCTGAGCTTTTGGTGTGTTGTGTTAAGAAATCATTGCCAAGGCCACTGTCAAGAAACTTTCCCTTGTGTTTTCTTCTAGGAGCTTTATTGTTTCAGGTCTTACATTTGAATTAATTTCTGTGGCGTCAAATAAGGGTCCAATTTCATTCTTTTTTTTTTTTTTTTTTCTGAGACAAGGTCTTGCTTTGTTGCCCAGGCTGGAATGCAGTGGTTTGATCTTGGCTCACTGCAGCCACAATCTTTTGGGCTCAAGTGATCCTCTCACCATAGCCTCCCAAGTAGCTGGGACCACAGGTGCGTTCCACCACACCCGGTTAATTTTTGTATTTTTTTGTAGAGATGGGGTTTCACCATGTTGCCCAGGCTGGTCTCAAACTCCTGAGCTCAACCGACCCACCCATATTAGCCTCCCAAAGTGCTGGGATTACAGGCATGAGCCACCACCCCTGGCTAATTTCATTCTTTTGAGTGTGGAAATCCTAAAAAAAGTTTAAAAATATTTAATAGATGCAAAAGAATGTATAAAACTATTAACATATAAAGAATACAGCAAGTACTAATGTACTTATCACCTTAATTTATGTTTATTTTTAACCCAGTGTTAGACCCTTTGGCTGACTTACCATTTTAAATTTTCATTTATTGTCTGGCTTACTCAGCTTTGTGTTATCAACAGATATGATGAAGAGTTTTGTTTGTTTGTTTTTTTGAGACAGTCTCTCACATTCTTGCCCAGGCTGGAGTGCAGTGGCGCCATATTGGCTCACTGCAAGCTCCACCTCCCAGGTTCACGCCATTCTCCTGCCTCAGCCTCCCAGGTAGCTGGGACTACAGGCGCCCGCCACCACGCCTGGCTAATTTTTTGTATATTTAGTAGAGACGGGGTTTCACCATGTTAGCCAGGATGGTCTTAATTTCCTGACCTCGTGATCTGTTTGCCTCGGCCTCCCAAAGTGTTGGGATTACAGGCATGAGCCACCGTGCCGGCCTGATGAAGAGTTTTTGAATTGTTAGAACAAATCATTGAAAAAAATATTTAACAGGGTAACCTGGGACTGAGCACTGAGGCAGACCACAGTTCTTTTCTGTTCATTGGTTGATACTGCGTCATTAATCAACATTTTCTAGGGCAGAGTTATTTATTTCTCTAGAGGCAGGACCTCTCACTGTTGCCCAGACTAGAGAGTAGCGACACAATCCTAGCTCACTTCAGCCTTGAATTCTTGGGCATAAGTGATCCTCCCGCCCTGGCCTCCTGAGTAGCTAGGACTACAGGTGTGTGTCACCATACTTGGCTAATTATTTATTGATCGATTGATTTTGTTGATATAAGGTATTGCTGTGTTGCCCAGGCTGGTCTTGAACTGCTGACCTCAAGCATTTCTGCCATCTTGGCCTCTTAAAGTGATGGGCTACAGGTAAAAAGCCATAGCTCCTGGTCTGGGGCAGAGTTTGCATTGTCAGTTTAACCTTCACCTGAAAGTACCTTTAACCGCTTAACTTTTTAACACTTTCCTCCATAAGAATATTTGAGAGACAGAAGTCAGATATATATTCTCTTTAGTACTGGCATAATTTATCTACCTATTTTTTTCTTGATGGTTATGCTATAAAAACTCATGTTTGCTAATTTTATAAAAAAGCAGCCATATTTAGCATAATGATATAACCTAAACTCTTAGATATTTTAGCTAGTGATAAAATATAGACATTCTTTACTTTTAGCCTATTTCAGATTTTAAAAAAGTGGTTTTCAATTTTTTTAAATAAATTTACAGTACAACATACCGTGAATTGCTAAATTCTCTACTACTTCTTAGAAATAGCATTTTATTAAATAGATTCAGATTAAAGATTGCAAAGTGCATCCAAAGAGTTGCAACCAAAGATTTCCGGGTTTAGAGTTGACAGTAGCTTATCTTTCTGGCATCACATTTGTAAGTCTTTTAGCTGTCGGTGAGCAGAATATCTGAAAGAGTGTTGGACAAAAGATATTCAATACAGTGTGGATTTAAGCAAAAAATGATCACTCTGTTCACTGTTAAGAGCTAGAGAAGAATCACTGGTTTAATAGTTAAATTTGCCTTCCCATTTATTTACGTTGGAATGTTTTAGTGAGAATCTTTCTTGTGACTAATACTATGGAACTTTTAGCTAATCACAGGTATTTTATTTTGAGGAAGTAAAGACAAATCTGATGAGTGGAAAAACCTATTTCTTACACACTTTTGCAGTAATATGGTTCTGGGTCTGTGTTTCAGATTTTTGGCTTTTGATCATCTTGTCTTTCAGGTAACTTTTGTATTCTTTTTTCTGCCGAGGACAAGTATTCTTAATTTACCTGTTGTTTCCACATAGCTACTTCCCACCAGTTCATCATCTATATGCAAATTAAACATAATAAACAATATGCAGTGGCATTCTAGCCAGTCTGCCTCATGCCCACTTCATTTGCATTTTCTTTTTATTTTGTTTAGTACTTTAAAATGGCAAAGCCCAGAGTCCACATAACACTTAGACTTAGGTGTATAAGACCTTTGCAAATCTCTTCAGTGCTGGTAGAGAAGAGAAAGACTGAGAAATGTCTTGAAGGGGAAGAGTGAGGAGATGAAAATATATTTATGAATATTTAGAATTGAAGATACCTTTTAAAGGGGGTTGATTACTATGTGGCCAAAGTCTTATGGAGATTTCTTATATATCAGACTTCTTTATAGCTCCATATCAGCAGTATTATAGCCTCACAATAAAAAATGCTCTTATAGCATTCTGAGTGTTAAAGTGCAAGATTACCTAGAGTGGCTGTGGTGGACTGGCTTAGTTGAAAACCATAGTGAATGAGGTACCACCCCACACCCATTAGGTTAGCTGTTATTAAAAATGCAAGAGATAATAAGTGTTGGTAAGGGTGTGGAGAAAAGGGAACCTTTGTACACTGTTGGTAGGAATGTAGATTAGTGCAGCCATTATGTAAAACAGTATGGAGGTTCCTAAAGAAATTAAAAATAGAATTACCACACGACCCAGCAATCCCCCTTATGGTTATATGTGCAAAGGAGATGAAATCACCACCTTGTAAAGATATTTGCACTCCCACACAATTCACAATTGGAGAGATATGAAACCAACCAAATTGCCCATCAGCCAATGCGTGGGTAAAGAAAATGTGGCATATACACCATGGAATACTACTCAGCCATAAAAAGAAAAAAAATAATCTATTTTGCAGCAACTTGGGTGGAGCTGGAGGCCATTTTCTTTTTCTTTTTTATTATTTAAGTTGTAGGGTACATGTGCACATGTGTACCTGTGCAGGTTTGTTACATAGGTATACATGTGCCATGTTGGTTTGCTGCACCTATCAACTCATCATTTACATTAGGTATTTATCCTAATGCCATCCCTCCACCAGCCTCCCGCCCCCTGATAGGCCCCGGTGTGTGATGTGTCCTGCCCTGTGTCCAAGTGTTCTCATTGTTCAGTTCCCACCTGTGAATGAGAACATACGGTGTTTGGTTTTCTGCCCATGTGATAGTTTGCTGAGAATGATGGTTTACACCTTCATCCATGTCCCTGCAAAGGACGTGAACTCATCCTTTTTTATGACTGCATAGTATTCCATGGTGTATGTGTGCCACATTTTCTTAATCCAGTCTATCATTGATGGACATTCGGGTTGGTTCCAAGTCTTTGCTATTGTGAATAATGCTGCAGTAAACATACGTGTGCATGTGTCTTTATAGTAGCATGATTTATAATCCTTTGGGTATATACCCAGTAATGGGATTGCTGGGTCAAATGGTATTTCTAGTTCTAGATCCTTGAGGAATTGCTACACTGTTTTACACAATGGTTGAACTGATTTACACTCCCACCAACAGTGTAAATGTGTTCCTATTTCTCCACATCCTCTCCAGCATCTGTTGTTTCCTGACTTTTTGATGATCGCCATTCTAACTGGTGTGAGATGGTATCTCACTGTGGTTTTGATTTGCATTTCTCTGATGACCAGTGATGATGAGCATTTTTTCATGTGTCTGTGGCTACATAAATGTCTTCTTTTGAGAAGTGTCTGTTCATATCCTTTGCCCATTTTTTGATGGAGTTGTTTTTTTCTTGTAAACTTGTTTAAATTCTTTGTAGATTCTGGATATTAGCCCTTTGTCAGATGGGTATATTGCAAAAATTTTCTTCCATTCTGTAGGTTGCCTGTTTACTCTGATGGTAGTTTCTTTTGTCATGCAGAAGCTCTTTAGTTTAATTAGATCCTGTTTGTCAATTTTGGCTTTTGTTGCCATTGCTTTTGGTGTTTTAGACATGAAGTCCTTGCCCATGCCTATGTCCTGAATGGTATTGCCTAGGTTTTCTTCTAGGGTTTTTATGGTTTTAGGTCTAACATTTAAATCTTTAATCCATCTTGAAGTAATTTTTGTATAAGGTATAAGGAAGGGATCCAGTTTCAGCTTTCTACATATGGCTAACCAGCTTTCCCAGCACCATTTATTAAATAGGGAATCCTTTCCCCATTGCTTGTTTTCATCAGGTTTGTCAAAGATCAGATGGTTGTAGATGTGTGGTGTTATTTCTGAGGCCTCTGTTCTGTTCCATTGGTCTGTATATCTGTTTAGGTACCATTACCATGCTGTTTTGGTTACTGTAGCCTTGTAGTATAGTTGAAGTCAGGTAGCATGATGCCTCCAGCTTTGTTCTTTTGGCTTAGGATTGTCTTGGCATTGTGGGCTCTTTTTTGGTTCCATATGAACTTCAAAGTAGTTTTTTCCAATTCTGTGAAGAAAGTCATTGGTAGCTTGATGGGGATGGCATTGAATCCATAAATTACCTTAGGCAGTATGGCCATTTTCACGATATTGATTCTTCCTATCCATGAGCATGGAATGTTCTCCCATTTGTTTGTGTCCTCTTTTATTTCATTGAGCAGTGGTTTGTAGTTGTCCTTGAAGAGGTCCTTCACATCCCTTGTAAGTTGGATTCCTAGGTATTTTATTCTCTTTGTAGCAATTGTGAGTGGGAGTTCACTCATGATTTGGCTCTCTGTCTGTTATTGGTATATAGGAATGCTCATGATTTTTGCACATTGATTTTGTATCCTGAGACTGCTGAAGTTGCTTATTAGCTTAAGGAGATTTTGGGCTGAGACGATGCGGTTTTCTAAATATCCAATCATGTCATCTGAGAATAGAGACAATTTGACTTTCTCTTTTCCTAATTGAATACTCTTTATTTCTTTCTCTTGTCTGATTGCCCTGGCCAGAACTTCCAACACTATGTAGAATAGGAATGGTGAGAGAGGGCATCTCTGTCTTGTGCCGGTTTTCAAAGGGAATGCTTCCAGTTTTTGCCCATTCAGTATGATATTGGCTGTGGGTTTCTCATAAATAGCTCTTATTATTTTGAGATATGTTCCATCAATACCTAGTTTATTGAGAGTTTTTAGCATGAAGGGCTGTTGAATTTTGTTGAAGGCCTTTTCTGCATCTATTGAGATAATGTGGTTTTTGTCATTGGTTCTGTTTATGTGATGGATTATGTTTATCATTTGCGTATGTTGAACGAGCCTTGCATCCTGGGGATGAAGCCAATTTGATTGTGGTGGATAAGCTTTTTGATGTGCTGTTGGATTCAGTTTGCCAGTATTTTATTGAGGATTTTCACATCGTTGTTCATCAGGGATATTGGTCTAAAATTCTCTTTTTTGTTGTGTCTCTGCCAGGCTTTGGTATCAGGATGATGCTGGCCTCATAAAATGAGTTAGGGAGGATTCCCTCTTTTTCTGTTGATTGGAATAGTTTCAGAAGGAATGATACCAGCTCCTCTTTGTACCTCTGGTAGAATTCAGCTGTGAATCCGTCTGGTCCTGGACTTTTTTTTGGTTGGTAGGCTATTAATTATTGCCTCAATTTCAGAGCCTGTTATTGGTCTATTCAGAGATTCAACTTCTTCCTGGTTTAGTCTTGGGAAGGTGTATGTGTCCAGGAATTTATCCATTTCTTCTAGATTTTCTAGTTTATTTGTGTAGAGGTGTTTATAGTATTCTCTGATGGTAGTTTGTATTTCTGTGGGATCGGTGGTGATAATCCCCTCTATCATTTTTTATTGCATCTATTTGATTCTTCTCTCTTTTCTTCTTTATTAGTCTTGCTAGAGGACTATCAATTTTGTTGATCTTTTCAGAAAACCAGCTCCTGGATTCATTGATTTTTTTTTTTTAAGGGTTTTTTGTGTCTCTATCTCCTTCAGTTCTGCTCTGATCTTAGTTATTTCTTGTCTTCTGCTAGCTTTTGAATTTGTTTGCTCTTGCTTCTCTAGTTCTTTTAATTGTAATGTTAGGGTGTCAATTTTAGATCTTTCCTGCTTTCTCTTGTGGGCATTTAGTGCTATAAATTTCCCTCTACACTTTGCTTTAAATGTGTCCCAGAGATTCTGGTAGTTGTGTCTTCGTTCTCATTGGTTTTGAAGAACATCTTTATTTCTGCCTTCATTTCGTTATTTACCCAGTAGTCATTCAGGAGCAGTTTTTTCAGTTTCCATGTAGTTGTGCAGTTTTGAATGAGTTTCTTAATCCTGAGTTCTAATTTGATTGCACTGTGGTCTGAGAGACAGTTTGTTGTGATTTCTGTTCTTTTACATTTGCTGAGGAGTGCTTTACTTCCAATTATGTGGTCAATTTTAGAATAAGTGGGATGTGGTACTGAGAAGAATGTATATTCTGTTGATTTGGGGTGGAGAGTTCTGTAGATGTCTATTAGTTCTGCTTGGTGCAAAGCTGCGTTCAAGACCTGGATATCCTTGTTAACCTTCTGTCTTATTGATCTGTCTAATATTGACAGTGGGGTGTTAAAGTCTCCCATTATTATTATGTGGGAGTCTAAGTCTCTTTGTGGGTCTCTGAGGACTTGCTTTATGTATCTGGGTGCTCCTGTATTGGGTGCATATATATTTAGGATAGTTAGCTTTTCTTGTTGAATTGATCCCTTTACCATTATGTAATGGCCTTCTTTGTCTCTTTTGATCTTTGTTGGTTTAAAGTCTGTTTTATCAGAGACTAGGATTGCAACCCCTGCTTTTTTTTTGCTTTCCATTTGCTTGGTAGATCTTCCTCCATCCCTTTATTTTGAGCCTATGTGTGTCTCTGCACGTGAGTGGGTCTCCTGAATACAGCACACTGATGGGTCCTGACTCTTTATCCAGTTTGCCAGTCTGTGTCTTTTAATTGGGGCATTTAGCCCATTTGCATTTAAGGTTAATATTATTATGTGTGAATTTGATCCTGTCATTATGATGTTAGCTGGTTATTTTGCCCGTTAATTCATGCAGTTTCTTCATAGCATTGCTGGTCTTTATAATTTGGCATGTTTTTGCAGTGGCTGGTACTGGTTGTTCCTTTCCATGTTTAGTGCTTCCTTCAGGAGCTCTTGTAAGGCAGGCCTGGTGGTGACAGAATCTCTCAGCATTTGCTTGTCTGGAAAGAATTTTATTTTTCCTTCACTTATGAAGCTTAGTTTGGCTGGATATGAAATTCTGGGTTGAAAATTCTTTTCTTTAAGAATGTTGAATATTAGCCCCCGTGCTCTACTGGCTTGTAAGGTTTCTGACAAGAGATCCGCTGTTAGTCTGATGGGCTTCCCTTTGTGGGTAGCCCGACCTTTCTCTTTGACTGCCCTTAACACTTTTTCCTTCATTTCAACCTTGGTGAATCCAACAATTATGTGTCTTTGGGGTTGCTCTTCTCGAGGAGTATCTTTATGGTGTTCTGTGTACTTCCGAATTTGAATGTTGGCCTGCCTTGCTAGGTTGGGGACATTCTCCTGGATAATATTCTAAAGAGCATTTTCCAACTTGGTTCCATTGTCCGCATCACTTTCAGGTATACCAATCAAACATAGATTTGGTCTTCTCACATAGTCCCATATTTCTTGGAGGCTCTGTTTGTTTATTTTTACTCTTTTTTCTGTAACCTTGTCTTCTCGCTTTATTTCATTAATTTGATCTTCAATCACTGATATCCTTTTTTCCACTTGATTGAATCGGTTATTGAAGCTTCTGCATGCGTCACAAAGTTCTCGTGCCGTGGTTTTCAGCTCCATCAGGTAATTTAAGGTCTTCTCTACACTGTTTATTCTAGTTAGCCATTCGCCTAACCTTTTTTCAAGGTTTTTAGCTTCCTTGCAATGGGTTAGAACATGCTCCTTTAGCTCGGAGAAGTTTGTTATTACTGACTTTCTGAAGCCTACTTCTGTCATCTCATCAAAGTCATTCTCCATCCAGCTCTGTTCCGTTCCTGGCAAGAAGCTGCAATTCTTTGGAGAAGAAGAGTCGCTCTGGTTTTTAGAAACCAGCTTTTCTGCTCTGGTTTCTCCCCATCTTTGTGGTTTTATCTACCTTTGGTCTTTAATGTTGATGACTTACAGATGGGGTTTCGGTGTGGATGTCCTTTTTGTTGATGTTGATGCTATTCCTTTCTGTTTGTTAGTTTTCCTTCTAACACTCAGGTCCCTCAGCTGCAGGTCTGTTGGAGTTTGCTGGAGGTCCACTCCAGACCCTGTTTGTGTGGGTCTCACCAGTGGAGGCTGCAGAACAGCAGATACTGCAGAACAGCAAATACTACTGCCTGATACTTGCTGGAGGCCATTTTCTGAGTGAAGTAACTGAAGCATGGAAAACCAAATACCACATGTTCTCACTTATAAGTAGGAGCTAAGCTATGGGTACACAGAGGCATACAGAGAGATATAATGGACTGTAGAGACTCAGAAAGGGGAGGTTGGGAGAGGGGGCAAAGGGTAAAAAAAACTACATATTGGGTATAACGTATGCTACTTAGGTGATGAGTGCACTGAAATCTCAGACTTCACTACTATACAATTCGTCCATGTAACCCCAAACCACCTGTACCCCAA
This sequence comes from Homo sapiens, assembly GCF_000001405.40. NCBI lineage: Eukaryota > Metazoa > Chordata > Mammalia > Primates > Hominidae > Homo > Homo sapiens. Next base: position 24,537,114 of record NC_000002.12, read on the forward strand.
AAGCTACTGGAAAAAAAAAGATATCTGGACTCCCATGTTCATTGTAGCATTAGTCACAATAGTCAAGATACAGAAACAACCTAGGTGTCCACTTATGGACAAATCAATAAGGTAACTGTGATACATACACACACACACACACACACACACACACAGACACACAAACACGAAAATTATATAAGCCTTGAAAAAGAAGATCCTGCCATTTGCCACAACGGATGGACCTGGAAGACATTATGCTAAGTGAAGTAAGTCAGACATGGAAAAATATTGTATGATCTCACTTATATGTGGGAGATTATATATATATGTGTGTGTGTGTATATATACATAATATATTTGTGTGTGTATATATATATAATATATGTATGTGTGTGTGTGTGTGTCTCTCTCTCTCTCTCTGTATATATATAAAATGCACAGAGATAGAGAATGAAACTGGTTACCACAGGTGGGATGTTGGGGAGAAAGGTGAGGAAATGGGGATATGTAGGTCAAAGGATACAAAATAGCTGATGTATAGGATGAACAAGTTTAGATATCTGATGAACAACGCAAAGATCAAAGTTAATAAAGTTGTATTATGTTAGGGGTTTTTGTTAAATAAGTAGATTTTAGATGCTTTTGTCACAAAAAGTATGTGAGGTAATAAGTTATTATCTGCTTCACTGTAGCAATCATGTTTCTATCTATCTATATATATCTCATAATGTTATGCTGTAAATCTCAAATATATACAATAAAACTTGTTAAAAAAAGAAAACTAACATAGTGGAAATTCTGTTTTGATTGCAATTCTGTATCTGCTAACTTTTTGTGTCTAAGAAGGGGACAATCCATAGCAAAAACAAACTGACAAATACTTTTCCTTCCTGGTAATCCCACACTTATGGAAGTTAAGAAATTTATCTTGCTTCAGTGTTAAGAAATGACTTTTTATTTTATTTTTCTTAAGAGATAGCTTTTTAAATGTTTGTTTTTAGTGTATCTGATGAAATTACAGACTATATCTATTAAAATAGCAAGTGTTATATATGTGTATGTTATTTGGTCACTTGATATAAAAGCAGGTTTATGGCCTGAAATGAATACTTTTTACCTTTCCATCCCTGGTTTGGGCACTAGTAGCTGCCTCAAAGAACAGTCATATTCAAAAGCAAGTCTTGGCAGAATGCTCATAGACTAAAATTGAGGCAATAGTGCATGTTAGGAGAACTTTTATTTTCGAGTAATTTTTAACTATTAAGATGGTATTATCCTTTCCAAAACCTCGAAAGACTGGAAAAGCAATAGAGTAAGTCATTGAAATTGAATGAACTTTTGTAACGGGAATCAGAAGATCTGGATGCAAATCCATATTCTGCCAGAAGCTCTGAGTTTGAGCAGGTCAATTACTTGTTTGGGATGTAATTCTTTAATCTGTAACTTGAGAGCTTGGATGCGATGTTCTCTTAAAATCTTTTCCAGCTTAAAAAGTCTATGACTGCGTAGACTTCCTCACCACCTCTAAATGTCTGTATATACTTTTATTCTATTTTTTCTTGAAGGAAAAGTTAAGTGACTTTCCAAGACCAGTTCATATGAGCTTAAAACTGCCCCTTCCCAGTTGCTCTGATTTCATTGATGTTTATCCAGCATTTATTTGTCATGTACGAGACTTCAGATTCTTTTAGGTTCTGGGGAGAGAAAGATGAAGAAAACAGACTCTGTCCTCAAGGAGATTACAGTCTAGTAGGGGAAGAAAAAAAATGTGATATAGTGTAGTTAAAAAGGGATGTAACATGACAGCGTAGTGATACAAAGAGGAAGTGAATCTTCTTTTGACTAGTCAAGTAAGAGTTTACAGAGGACAGGACCTCTAAGCAGAGCGTTAAAATTCAAAGACCTGTCCCCCTAATAAAATACTGTATGTTCTTAACGTGTAAAAGTTAGGAAGTACAGATAAGCAAAAATCAAGAAAACAACCACTATTAATAACTTAATATGCATTCCTTCTTACCCATTTGAAGGTGAGTTTTTTCCCCCCCATTTAAGAGATGGGGGTCTCACAAAATTGATGAAGCTGGTCTTGAACTCCTGGCCTCAAGTGATTCTCCCATTTTGGCCTCCCAAAGTGCTGGGATTACAGGCATGGGCCACCATGCCTGGCCTCTGAAAGTGGGTTTTGTACAATGCCTAGAATACTATAATAAAAAGAGTCAGGGTTGGGGAAGGAAGCATTAGAGACAAAAGGAATGATGAATGCAAAGATATGAAGGCCTGAAAAAGCATGTTGTGTATGGCCTCCCATAATTACTGAATACTTAGGTGTGGCTGCTTCATGAGGGATATTGCGTGGGGAAAGAGCAGGTGTAGGAAGTCATCAATTAGATCATAGAGGGCTTTGCATATACTAAGGCATTTAGAGTCTGTCTATAGGAAATCAGAAGCCATGAAGAGTTTTAAGCTGGGCAAGGGACAGATTCATGATGTGATTTGCATTTCAGAATACTTATTCTGGCCAGTTTCACAAAGGCAGACTGAACCTTCACTACCTTTTTGTATTCCTTCACCAAACCTATAGAAGTAATAGAAAAATTTGAATGTGGCCATGTATAGACACAAGAAGAGGAACTCTCCATAAATCAAAAACTGTGAAGAATTTCTGAACATAAATAGGAGGTCCTGTGGGTAACACTCATACCATAGGTAAGAGGCTAGGAAGGGTCCCAGAATAATCAATAGGGTAATTCATTAGCATTACTGCAACATGAGCAACCAAGCAGCTTCAACATCTATGTATTCTAACACCAACTTGAGCAAAGTAAAGGATCTGTTTCCATGTGAGAACTGCATGTAGGAGCCCTGAGTCTATGAGAGTAGGAAGCAGTTGGGGGTAACTGGCTATATTCATGTCTAGAAGACGAAGGACTGAGAACCCTGTCTGTGACGTGTTCTGCTTCTCCTTCTCTCCCACTGAAAGCAATATGAGATAAGTACTGCTCCTGAGTGAGCTGTACCAAAAGCCTACAGAGTGTAACAGAATCCCAAGTACAAAGATAAGAATCTCTTAAATGTTTCAGGAAAGCCAACACTATAAAAAAGAATCAACAAAAAAGAACTTAGGATCAAATAAAAAGTTACTAGAACAGAGTTCTAAAATGTGTACCTAATACTTTTAGACAGATAGGGAATTTATTATATCCTTAACAAAAACAAGTGGCTATAAAACAAGAGTAGGCATTTATTTAAAAGAGTCAATTAGAGATCTGGGGAATGAAAAATATAGTTGTTGAAATGGAACAGTCTTTTTGGTGCCAAGATGGATGGATTAGAACTGTGCATGATTGATAGCTGGGAGAACTGGCTTTTTTTTTTTTTTTGAGACGGAGTTTCGCTTTTGTCACCCAGGCTGGAGTGCAGTGGTGCGATCTTGGCTCACTGCAACCTCTGCCTCCCAGGTTCAAGTGATTCTCCTGCCTCAGCCTCCCCAGTAGCTGGGATTACAGGCGCGTGCCACCACACCTGGCTAATTTTTATATTTTTAGTAGAGACGAGGTTTCACCATGTTGGCCAGGCTGGTCTCGAACTCCTGACCTCAAGTGATCCGCCTGCCTCAGCCTCCCGAAGTGCTGGGATTACAGGTGTGAGCCACCGCACCTGGCCAGAACTGGCCCTTTTTGATGATCCAGTGATATAATGAGATCCTGAACTTAGATAGCAGCATAAGGAGACAAACAAAAGAGATGTTAAATATGTAGAATTAAGAAGACATATGTGTGGGAATGAGACAGAAGGGGGATTCTAGACTATTCTTAGGTTTCTTGATTGGTTGAGTGGAGAGATGGTATTGCCAGAAACCATGGTAGCAAATGCAACAGTAAAAGCATTTTGGGGATGAGAGTGAAAGATACTACTATCTCACTTGGGCATGCTGAGATTGAGATGCTTGTGAGACAACCACACGAAAAAGTGTTATAGTCTGTTAGGCTAGTGGATATATGGATTTGGAACTCAAATGTCTGGGGTTGAGGACAATTGGGAAGTCATGTATAAGTGATAATGGTAGTTGATAATGGCAGTTCATGGGTGAAGTTGCTCAGGAAGAATGAATATACTGTGAGACAAAATGACCACTACTGTTTGAGAGCTACGTTGAAGAAGGGGAGCCTGCAGGCAAGGGAGAGAAGAATGGTTGAAAGAGTGAGAGGTGAACCAAGAATCATGTCATGGAAACCAGAGAAGTAATGGAGTGGTCAGCAGTGCCAGATTACCAAAGGATAAGAAAGGACTGAGTAGTGATTTGATAACTAAGAGATGACCAAAACAGGAACAGCTGAACTACCTTCCTCCAGATCTGTTATGTGAGAGAAAAATAAAACTCTCTTTTATACAGACTACTGGTATTTGTCATGTGCAATGGAACCTAATCCTAACTGACACACAGAGCCAGTGCATTGGCTGGATTAAGGCTACTATGGAGGCTAGGAGAGGTTGTGGCCCCAGTTGGTTTTTGATTTCCAAAGTTGACATAAAGGGGAAATTATCTGAAAAAGATTTTTTGACATAAAGGGGAAATTATCTGAAAAAGATTTTAACACTGATCTAAATAATCCTTGAGAGAGCCTTTCTCAGCTTCAGATTCTGGAAGAACATGGCCATCCCTCTTGTAGTGTGAGCCAACAGAAAATTCATAGGAATAAGACTCAGAAGTTCTAAAGAAGATATAATTTGAGTTTTCATAGCAGATGGCTGCCTGTGAAATAGTTATGACACTGCATCAGACTTTAAAAATTTAAATTCATAGACTCAGTGCAGTGAGATTTAAGAGGGGATTATTATGAACAAGAAGGCACTCTGAGAACAGGAAAAAGATTTTGGAAAACAAAATCATTAATATTGAACTAAAATTAATAATAATGAAAAGTAGATTGGATACTCCAGGAAATAATACTAGTGAGTTAAAAGACTAGTTCAATTGATGTTCCAGAGTTATGGGAAGATAGACATGGAGATCATGACCAAGAAGGTAATAGAGTAGATAGATGCAAGAAATTTGGTATATATAAATTGGGTGTTCTAAAAGAACAGAGATGATGCATAAGTAGTCAAACAATACAGAAAGTGTTGAAAATGTAGCTAAATTGAAGACTTTAACTTTTAAAAGAACTAACCTGATTAGTGAATGTGCTAGTCACATTTCTGATGTTCAAGGATAAGAGGGAAAATTCTACAAATATTCAAAGGGGGGAACCAAATGATTTTCAAAGGGAAGACAATCAGGTTGGAATCCAGTCTTCTATTTAATGAAAAATGCTGGATCAGAGAATTTAAGATCTTTGAATTAATAGACTATACGATTCTAGTAGAAAATTTGGATGACTGGCATAAATTATACACTTTTTTTTGGCTAAACAAGGATATAAAATATAACAATAATTTTTGCTTTAGGTTAAATAATACTGTCACTGTTTTTGATTGTACTGAGGACTAGTGAAAACTTTATCGCCAAATAGCATTGGTTTTGGGCTTGGAGTTTGGGAACTACTGTTGTAGGTGATGTTGGTCTCTCTGCAAGTTCGTAAGAGGAGAAGATGATGTAACCTCAATTTTATACCTTGCTACACTGTCATTGACATACAAAGGCTAAAGAGAGATTTCCAGACAGACAAGGTTTCAGAAATTATACTAACTTTTTACTTTTTCTGAAGAATATATCCAAGAGAATACTCTTTAGAATAATATAATTAGTAAACTTGATTTAACAGATTAATATTAAACTTTGTACCTTACAAGGGGATTTTATTTTGATTACTTGTAAAATCGTCACTAAGTCTAAGCCACAGAAATAACAAAAATGGAAACTCAAAAGTATTTAAGCATTTGTTGTGCTGGGCAGAGAGCTAGTCTCTGAGGATACAATGACAAACAGGGTTGTCTTATTCTGTTTTGTATTGCTATAACAGAATATACCTGAGACTGGTAATTCATAAAAGTTTACTGGGCTCATGATTCTGCAGGCTGGGAAGTTCAGGAGCTTAGTGCTCCATCTAGGGGCTTATGGTGAGGACCAGGTGCTGGGTCAAAACACAGTGGAAAAGCAGAAAAGGGAGTGGGCATGTACAAAGAGATCACATCGTGAGAGTGGAAGCAAGAGAATTCTAGGAAGCCAAACTTCCTTTTATAACAACCTGCTTTTATAACAATCTACTCTTGCAGTAACTAATCCAGTCCTGAGAAAACTCACTCCCACAGAAGAGAATTAAATCTATTTGTGAGGGATCTGCCCCCATGACCCAAACACCTTCCACCAGGCCCTGCCTCCCAACACTGCCACCTAGGGGATCAAGTTTTAAGATGAGTTTTGGAGGGGACAAATCAAATCGTAGCAGAGATAATGTGATTTTTTTGCTCAGATTGAGTTTCTAGTCTAGCAAGGGATACAAAATAAACAGATACTACAATGTAGTGTGATGGTTGCTACAGTGGATGGACCACATAATTGAATGTGAGCGTAGAACAGGAGCACTTAACCTAGATGAACAGGGAAGGCAGAGATGGCTTTCTAAAGAAGGAACATCTGAATTGAGACAAGAAGACAGGAGAGAGAAATTGAGAAGATTTCAGATTAGTTGATTGCAGAGGGCATAAAGTGAGAGAAGGATGACAGGAAAGAGGTCACTAGGTATTATATCACACAGCCCTGAAAGCAATGTTAGGGCAGTTGGGCTTTATCCTGAGAGGAATGGGAATCTATTGAAATATTTTAATAATGAAAAGTGATATGATCTGGTTTGTTTTTTAGAAAAATTACTCAGATTGTAGTGTGAATGGATTAGAGCCAGGTAAAATTAAAGGTAGGGAGATCAATTAAGAAGCTGTCTTGTGTATTCATTTGTTCTAACAAGAAATTTTTCTAGGTGGGAGGTAATGTTAGATTGGCTACAGTAGGAGGATCATAAGGATGGAGATGTATTTGAGAAAGATTTAGGCTTTGGTGGTTAGTTACTAGGGAGAGTAGAGAGAAGAGGACCAACCTAGTCTTAAATTTCTGGCTTATGCAGATAGGTAGATGATGATGATGGTGTCATTCAGTAGATAAACCCTGGAGGAGAAGATTAGGGAAGGATGGTTGAGTTCAGTTTGAGATGCCTATGAGACACCTAACTTGAGATCCAACTGGTAGTTGGATAAGTGGGTTTGAAGTTTAGGAGAGAGATTTGGGTTGGAGATACTGATTTGGAAAGTATCAGCATTTGGAAAGTAAAGTTGTGGATATGAAAGATAACTCAAGTAAAATGTGCGGAGATGGAAGAGGTGATCCAGGTCAAGGATCTTAGGAACACGTGCTTCTAAAATGAGGATTCTGGCTGGGTGCGGTGGCTCATGCCTGTAACCCCAGCACTTTGGAAGGCCAAGGTGGTGGATTGCTTGAGTTCAGGAGTTTGAGACCAGCCTGGGCAACATAGCAAAACCTCATTTCTACAAAAAATACAAAAAATTTGCTGGGCATGGCAGTATGCACTGTAGTCCCAGCTAGGGCAGCTGGGGTGGGAGGAGCACCTGAGCTCAGGAAGTTGAGGCCACAGTGAGCCATGATTGTGCTGCTGCACTCCTCCCTGGGTGACAGAATGAGACCCTGTCTCAAGAAAAAATAAAAGAAGATTCTGTTAATAAGACTTTCAAAAGAAAAAGGTAGGACAGAAATTCAGTAGAGTGTGAGCTAACAATTCAAAAAACATTGCACATGTATATTGGGATTAAAAAAATAAGTAAATGAATGGTGAATCATGGGAACTAGTTTTCTCATTTTTGGAGAGTGAGGTAACCACAGGCAGGAAGAAGGCTAGAATGAACCATGTGGTACTGAATTAGAGTTTGAAACATAAGCATTGAACACACATTTACCTTAATATTGATACAGATTCAGAAATAAATACAGATATGTATGTATACATAGCCTAGTATACATACATTTATTTACTAGCTCTGTCTGCTGAGAGGGCCTAGGAGCAGTGACAACCCAGTAGCATGAGCACACCCAGCATCAGATCTTGGTTTCTAATACCACTCTCCAATAGAAAGAACTAAGGCTCCCTGGAAAATGGCTGATTCTTGGGCCGGGGCAGGGAATTTGCAAGATGAGCCTGGAACATTGTAGAGTGCCAGAAAATAAGAAAATATGCAAAATGCAAAAGGACAGGGGGTTGGTAAAGGGATACAGGAGCCAACTGAAAGAGCACCCAGTGACTGAAGCTGGAACAATTTGAGCAATAAAATAAATAATATTGCATTATTGGATTATGACCCAAAGCATAAAATAAATATCCCTAAGTCCACACTGATTAAAATAAATGGTTAAATAAATAACTGTCCCCACTTATTTATCTTGTACAGAATTCCAAATAATTTGTGCAGACACTCCCCTCCTCAAGGAAGTGGAACTTAACCCCCCACCTCCTACCACCCCCTTGAGTATGGGCTGCACTTGGTGACTGAGAGGAATGGTTATTTGTATAGATTCTGTTTGAGATCAGATAAGTCAAGGACCAAGGTATTTACATAGGATATAGCATTAAAGAATGTTGGTGATCTCAGAGGGAACAGTTTGTGGGGAGAGGTAGATACTTGTACTCTTTACGTATGTGGCTCTAAATTTAACCAGCCTTATAGAATATTTATTCTGTGTTTTTATTAGATTTATTTACTTATTTTTTTGAGTCGGAGTCTCGCTCTCTTGCCCAGGTTGGAGTGCAGTGGCACGATCTCGGCTCACTGCAACCTCTGCCTCCCAGGTTCAAGCAATCCTGCCTCAGCCTTCTGAGTAGGTGGGATTACAAGTGCATGCCACTACACTCATCTAATTTTTGTATTTTAGTAGAGATGGGGTTTCACCATGTTGGCCAGGCTGGTCTTGAACTCCTGACCTCAGGTGATCCACCTGCTTTGGCCTCCCAAAGTGCTGTGATTACAGGCATGAGCCACCACACCCAGCCTGTTTTTATTGGATTTAATCACAAACTGACAGCTATTTAGTGTCTATCAAAAGTTCACTGAAGCTATGATTGTACTGCTGTACTCTAGCCTGGGCTACGGAGCAAGATCCCATCTCTTAAAAAAAAAAAAAAGCTCACTTAATGCAAAAAATCCACATCAGATACAAGACAGACTAATGAATATCTTAATTATGCATTCATGTAGTTTCTTGTATTAAGTCTTTAGAGAACAAAAGTATCAAGACCACATCATCTTAGTCTCCTCTGACATGAAAATGCCTGTGCTGAGTTCTGATTTAATATGTTATTTGTCTGTATAGAATCAATCTGTAAGAAACATCATTTGAATGATGTGCATTTTCTAAAATTTTCTAAAATTATATTTGAAACTATAGTCCTAGGTTCATTGTTCTTTGTACAAGTGCATCTAATTAAGATAGAAAAATTACATGTTTTCTTTTTCTTCTTACTGAAAAATGAAAACTTATAACCTGGAAAACATGGACCCAAATTTGACACTTGGTGTTTGTAATTTGCTGATATCACGAGCTTGATAGTATCTTTTTCAATTGTCTACAGCAGTGATTTATAATTTTTACAATTCTGGGGATCAGGAGTTTGAGCAGGGCTCAGATAGGGGATTCTTCTGCTCTGTGTGGCATCGGTTGGGATCACTTACTCAGCTGGTAACTGGTGTGGGCTGGACAGTCTCAGGCTTTCTTCACATGTCTGACACTTTTGTATGCCTCCACATGGCATCTCCTCAGCATTGTGGTGTCAGAGTAGTTGGATTTCTCACATGGCTTCTGACTTCCAAGAAGAGGGAGTAAGGGGAAGCTACCAGTCTTCTGGGTTCCTGCAGTTTCAGAATGTCACTTTGACCACATTCTTCCTGCTGGTCAGAGCAAGTCACAAGGCCAGCCAGGATTCAAGGGACTGGGAAATAAAGCCTCATCTCTTGATAGGTGGAATGACATGTGCACATTGGAAAGGAAATAATCAATGGCGGCCAAGTTTGGAAGATTAGTTTGTGGCTATACCATCTATTACAGTATCTAATCTTTTAATTTATTTACATGATTTTATGATTAATCCTCTTTATCTTGTATTTTAACATGTAATAATTTAAGTCCTCTTAGAAATTAGGTTATAAATCTCAAATTAAAATTATTGACCTTAATTTAATAGAAGAGATTTTGGGATAATGGGAGGCCTGGATAAACCTCTTTTTTGTGTCATTCACTATATATTCGTCTTGTCATTCACTATAAATTTAATAAGTATCTTGGTTTATTTAGTTGCAAATCTTCCAAAACATCTTTGCTTAGTAATTGCAGCTATATTATGAGAATTTACTCTTTCATCTTAGTTTTCCCTGAACTGGAGGGCTTACTGACGTGTCCATATTTTTTTAAACCCTGATAAACTATGTAGAGCACAGTTTAGCAAAGACTATCATAATTTAAAATGCAGATACTCTTTGACTCAGTAATTCTGCTTCATGAGTACAGAGATACAGCATTGTATGGCAAAATATTGCAAATGCATAATCAGTGAGGGGCTGATTAAATTGTGATGTATTCATATATCATGAGATTGTTAAAAAAAAGGATGAGGGAGCCAGGTGCAATGGCTCATGCCTGTAATCCCAACACTTTAGGAGGCCGAGGTGGGCGGATCATGAGCTCAGGAGATCAAGACCATGCTGACTAACGTGGTGAAACCCTGTCTCTACTAAAAATACAAAAAAATTAGCCAAGCCTGGTGGCGGGCACCCGTAGTCTCAGCTACTCGGGAGACTGAGGCAGGAGAATGGCGTGAACCTGGGAGACGGAGCTTGCAGTGAGCCGAGATCGCACCACTGAACTCCAGCCTGGGCAACAGAGTGAGACTCTGTCTCAAAAAAAAAAAAAAAAAAAAGGATGAGGGAATTCTATAAGGAATGCTATGAAATGAGTGCTAAGATACACTATGTTAAAAAAAGATATGAAACTGTATAGTATTGTATTACTCTGTTTTCTTACTGCTGATAAAGACACACCTAAGTCTGGGCAATTTACAAAAGAGAGAGGTTTAATGGACCTACAGTTCGACATGACTGGGGAAGCCTCACAATCATGGTGGAAGGGGAGGAGCAAGTCACGTCTTACATGGATGGCAGAAGGCAAAGAAAGAGGGCATGTGCAGGAAAACTCCCCCTTACAAAAGCATCAGATGTTGTGAGATTTATTCACTACCACGAGAACAGCATGGGAAAAGACCTGCTCCTGTGATTCAATTACCTCCTACCAGGTCTTTCCCACAACGTGGGAATTCAAGATGAGATTTGGGTGGGGACACAGTCAAACCATATCATTCCATCCCTGGCCCCTCCAAATCTTGCATCCTCACATTTCAAAACCAATTATGCCTTCCCAACAGTCCCCCAAGTCTTAGCTCATTTCAGCATTAACTCAAAAGTCCACAGTCCAAAGTCTCATCCAAGACAAGGCAAGTCCCTTCCGCCTATGAGCCTGTAAAATCAAAAGCAAGTTAGATACTTGGGGGTACAGGCATTGGGTAAATACAGCCATTCCAAATGGGAGAAATTGGCCAAAACAAAGGGGCTACAGGTCCCAACCAAGTCCAAAATCCAGCAGGGCAGTCAAATCTTAAAGCTTCAAAATGATCTCCTTTGACTCCATGTCTCACATCCAGGACAAGCTGTTGCGAGGGGTGGGTTCCCAAGGTTTTGGGCAGCTCTGCCCCTGTGGCTTTGCAGGGTACAGCCTTCCTCATGGCTGCTTTCATGGGCTGGCGTTGAGTGCCTGCAACTTTTCCAGGTGCATGGTGCAAGCTGTTGGTGGATCTACCATTCTGCGGTCTGGAGGATGGTGGCCCTCTTCTCACAGCATCACTAGATGGTGCCCCAGTAGGGACTGTGTGTGGGGGCTCTGACCCCCACATTTCCCTTCTGCACTGCCCTAACAGAGGTTCTCTATGAGAGCCCCGCCCCTGCAACAAACTTCTCTTTGGGCATCCAGGTGTTTCCATACATCTTCTGAAATCTAGGCAGAGGTTCCCAAACCCCAGTTCTTGACTTCTGTGCACTCACAGGCTCAACACCATGTGTAAGCTGCTAAGGCTTGGGGCTTGCACCCTCTGAAACAACAGCCTGAGTTGTACCTTGGCCCCTTTTAGTCATGGCTGGAGTGGCTGGCACACAGGGCACTAAGTCCCTAGACTGCATATAGCAGAGGGACCCTGGGCCTGGCCCGCAAAACCATTTTTTCCTCCTAAACATCTGGGCTTGTGATGGGAGGGGCTGCCACAAAGGTCTCTGACATGCTCTGGAGACATTTTCCCCATGTCTTGGTGATTAACATTCGGCTCTTCATTACTTGTGCAGATTTTTGCAGCCAGTTTGAATTCTCCTCAGAAAATAGGATTTTCTTCTCTATCACATTGTCAGGCTGCAATTTTTCCATATTTTTATGCTCTATTTCCCTTTTCTTTTAAGACAGAGTCTCACTCTGTCACCCAGGCTGGAGTGCAGTGGCGCAATCTGGGCTCACTGCAAGCTCCACCTCCCGCGTTTACGCCATTCTCCTGCCTCAGCCTGCTGAGTAGCTGGGACTACAGGTGCCCACCACTGCGCCCAGCTAATTTTGTTTTTGTATTTTTAGTAGAGACAGGGTTTCACCGTGTTAACCAGGATGGTCTCGATCTCCTGACCTTGTGATCCACCCACCTCGGCCTCCCAGAGTGCTGGGATTACAGGCATGAGCCACCGCACCCAGCCTCTATTTCCTTTTTAAAATTGAATGCCTTTAACAGCACCCAAGTCACCTCTTGAATGTTTTATTGCTTAGAAATTTCATCCGCCAGATACCCTAAATCATCTCTCTGAAGTTCAAATTTCCACAAACCTCCAGGGCAGGGGCAACATGCCACCAATCTTTTTGCTAAAACAAGTTATAGCAAACAACTTCCTCCTCTCCATTTGAGACCACCTCAGCCTGGATTTCATTGTCCTTATCATTATCAGCATTTTGGTCAAAGCCATACAACAAGTCTCTACAAAGTTTGAAACTTTCCCACATTTTCCTCTCTTCTTCTGAGCACTTCAAACCATTCCAGCCTCTGCCTGTTACCCAGTTCCAAAGCTGCTTCCATATTTTTAGGTATCTTTTCAGCAGCACCCCCGACTCCCAGAACCAACTTACCATATTAGTCTATTTTCATGCTGCTGATAAAGACATACCCAAGACAGGGCAATTTACAAAAGAAAGAGGTTTAATGGACTTACATTTCCACGTGGCTGGGGAGACCTCACAATTATGGCAGAAGGGGAGGAGGAGTGAGTCACATCTTACATGGATGGCAGCAGGTTGAGAGAGAGCTAGTGCTGGGAAACTCCCCCTTATGAAACCATCAGATCTCGAGAGATTTATTCACTACCATGAGAACAGTATGGGAAAAGACCTGCCCCTATGATTCAGTTACCTCCCTTCAGGTCCTTTTAACAGCACATGGGAATTCAAGATGAGATTTGGGTGGGGACACAGCCAAACCATATCAGATATGCCACTGTTGTTTTTGTTTGCTTTTATGTGCATAGAATATCTATGAATGCCTAGTAAACAAGGGAAGGGAGCTGGATGATTGGAGGGAAATTCCTGTTCACCATCACTTGTTTTGTACAGTTTCCTTTTTGTACCAAGTATTTGTATTACCTAACTTTAAAAATGCTCTGATAGGCTGGGTGCAGTGGTTCATGCCTGAAATCCCAGCACTTTGGGAGGCCAAGGCGGGTGGATCACTTGAGGTCAGGAGTTTGAGACCAGCCTGGCCACCAAGGTGAAACCCCATCTTTACTAAAAATACAAAAATTAGCTAGGCATGTAATCTCAGCTACTTGGGAGGCTGAGGAAGGAGAATCGCTTGAACCTGGGAGGCGGAGGTTGCAGTGAGCTGAGATTGTGCCACTGCACTCCAGCCTGGGTGACAGAGGAAGACTTTGTCTCAAAAAAAAAAAAAAAAAAGCTCTGATAGTTTTCATTTGTGGTTGTCTTTTTTTGTAAGGCAGAACACTGGATGCTCTATCCAGGCAAGATTGGTTCTGTTTCAGATAGCATAAAGACCAGTAGGAAAGGTTAAACATATGTACCATGTCTCTAGACTGCTTGTTAAGAGTTGTCATTTTTGCATTGTCCAAATATTCTGCCCATTATTTTTATTGAATTTTTTTAATTATTGTGTTGAAGAGTTCTTTATGTCCTGAAAACAAGTCCTTCATCAGATGTTTGTTTTGCAAATATTTTCTCCAAATTTGTGGTTCGTCTTTACATTTTTATAACACTATCTTTTGAACAGCAAAAGTTTAAAATTTTAATAAAGTGTTATTTTTTTTTCTTTTATCGTTTGTGTTTTTAAGCATCATATATAAAAACTCTCCGTCAGTGAGAGGTTGGCAAACTAACGACCTAATTCAGCCCACTACTTGTTTTTGTAAATAAAATGTTATTTGAATATAGCTGTGAACATTTGCTTATGTATTGTCTATGGCTGCTTTCATGCTACAATGGCAGAGTTGGGTAGTTTCAGCAGAGACTGTTTGGCTCTCTGCAGGATAAGTTTACCAACCCCTGGGCTAACCTGCAATCCCAAAGATTTTCTTCTATGTTTTCCTAAGTTGTATAGTTTTGAATTTTTTCTATTTAGGTCTATTAATTTTTGTGTAAGACATGAGGTGTGGGTTGAGGCTTTTGTTTTTGTTTTTGTTTTTGTTTTGGCATATGGACTGCCAATTGTTCCTGCACCATTTGTTGCAAGACAGTTCTCTTTCTATTGAGTTACCCTGGTACTTTTGTTTGAAATCAGTTGACCATAATATGTAGATTTATTTCTGGACTATCCCTTCTATTCCATTATCTTTGTGTTTATCCTTATGGCAGAATCACAATGTCTTAATTGCTGTAGCTTTATGGAAAGTCTTGAAATCAGTGAATCTAAGTCTTCCAACTTTGTTCTTCTTTTTGAAAAGTGTTTTGACTATTCTGGTTTCTTTGCATTTTCATAAAATTTTAGAATCAGCTTGTCAGTTTTTTTAAAAAGCCTGCTGGGATTTTAATTGGATTTACATTAATTTGGGGGAAAATTGACATCTTAACAATATTGATTGATCTGATATTTGAAAATAATGTATCACCAATTATTGAGGTCTTTGATTTCTCACTGTGCTTCATATATATTATATATATATATATATATATATATATATATATTTTTTTTTTTTTTTTTTTTTTTTTTTTTTTGAGATGGAGTCTCGCTCTGTTGTCCAGGCTGGAGTGCAATGGCATGATCTCAGTTCACTGCAACGTCTGCCTCCTAGGTTCAAGCAATTCTCCTGCCTCAGCTCCCGAGTAGCTGGGACTACAGGCATGTGCCACCACACCCAGCTAATTTTTTGTATTTTTAGTAGAGACGGGGTTTCACTATGTTAGCCAGGATGGCCTTGATCTCCTGACCTCGTCATCTGCCTGCCTTGGCCTCCCAAAGTGCTGGGATTAAAGGCGTGACCCACCGCTCCCGGCCTGTGCTTTATATTTTTGAGCACAAAAATCTTGCATTTATTTTGTTATATTCTATCTCTTTTTAATGTTTATACAATTGCTACTATTTTGTGAACTTATTTCTAATTATTCGTTACTACCACTAGAAGTACAATGTAATTTTGTGTGTTGACCTTGTCTTCTGCAATTTTGCTTAATTCATTTAGTAGTTTTAATAGTAGAAATTTATTAGATAAATTCAGTAGATTAATCCTTTGGGATTTTCTATATAGACAGTCTTGTCATTTGTGGAAAAAAACAGTTTTGTTTCCCCTTTTAAAATCCATCTTCTGGCTTTTATTCCTTCTTGCATCACTGTACTGACAGTGTAATACAATACAGTACATTGTTGAATAGGAGTGGTGAGAGCAGACGTTCATGTCTCGTTCGTCATCTTAGGAGACAACGTTTAATCTTTTGTGATTATGTATAATGTTAGCTATAGATTTGTTATAGATACGTAGGTTGAGGATGTTCTCTTCTGTTTCTAGTTTTCTGAGAGTTTTGAATCATGAATGATGTGGAAGTTTTTCAAATGCCTTCTTTTTTTTTTTTTGAGGCAGGGTCTCACTCTGTCGCCCAGGCTGGAGTGCAGTGGGCGATCTTGGCTTACTGCAGCCTCCACCTCCCAAGTTCAAGTGATTCTCCTGCCTCAGCCTCCCGAGTAGCTGGGATTACAGGTGTGCGCCACTACACCCAGCTAATTTTTGTATTTTTAGTAGAGACGGGGTTTCACCTTGTTGGCCAGGCTGGTCCCAAACTGCTGACCTCAAGTGATCTGCCCACTCGGCCTCCCAAAGTGCAGGGATTACAGGCGTGAGCCACTTTGCCCAGCACAAATGCCGTTTTTTTCCCCATTAATTAAGATGATCATTTATTTTTCAGTCTGTTAATGTGGCGTATTACATTGATGGATTTTCTTTCATATGTTGAACCAACATTGCATTCTTGGGATAAATGGCATTTGGCTAGGATATATATTTCTTTCAGTATATTGGCTAGATTCATTTGGTTAAGATATTTTCCATCTATGTTCATCAAAGTATGATGGTCTGTAGTTTTCTTGTAGTTTGTTTTGGTCTGATTTTTGTATTAGGGTCAATACTATATTCTCATAAAATGAATTGAGAAACGTTTTCTTCTTGTTTCTGGAAGAGTTTTTGTAATATTGGTATGATTTCTTCATTAAATGTTTAGTAGAATTCACCAAGGGAGCCTTTGTCATGGAAGTGTTTTCTTGAGAAGGTTTTAAATTATGAGTTAAGGAATTGGTACGTTTTATCTAAGTTGTGGAGTTTATTGCCATAAAATTGTTCAGAATATTCCCTAATTATCCCTTTAATAGCTATAAAATCTCTAGTGATGTCTCCTTTTCATTACCAATGTAGGTAATTTGTGGCTTCTCTCTTTTTTTGATCACTCTGGTTAGAAATTTATTTAGTTTCATTGAACTTTTCAAAGAATTAGATTTGTGTTTCATAGATACCTCTATGTTTTGTTTTCAATTTTTTTTCTTCAAATTGCTTTGTATTTAATTTACTCCTTTTTCTACCTCCTTAAGGTGGAGGCTTAAATTATTGATTCAAGACCTTACTTGTTTTGTAATGTAAGCATTTCATGCTGTAAGTTTCTAAAAACTACTTTAGTAGTATCCCTGATTTTTTGTTTGTTTGTTTTTGTTTTTTGTTGTGTTTTTTGTTTTTTCAGGAGCAGAGGTTTAATAGGCAAGAGAAAGAGAAAGGAAAACAGCTCTCTCTCTAATGAGAGAGAGGGGACTTCGGAGAGGAAAAGAGGACAGGAGATACGGCAATCGTGGATAGGAAAGGAGGAAATTACGATAGAAAAGTTGGAGATCCTTTTGCTAACACCCCTTTGGGCAGTTGGATGCTGAGGTCAGTCCAGAAACCTTTGACTAATACCAGGGGGTAGCCCCAGCCAGAAATCCTGCTCCAGAACCTCTTCCAGCCTCACACGACAGCTGAATCCTCCGTGAAAGGAAGCTGGTTCAAACATGGCCAACATAGCCAGCAACATGTTGGTGCTGGGGGATTCTCGATGTTCTCCCTAGTAAGTCACACATCCGAGTCTTTAAGAATGGCAACCATGCTGTGTTTTTAATTGGCTGACGGATGCCTGTTACTGATTTGATTTGGCTCTAAAATGGAGGCTGAGAGCCCCAAAATGAAAGGACAGGATTGGAGTCCGCTTCTCTACTTACCGTTTTGATGAATGTTGTACCTTGGTATCCCAGACGAGGTTCCCAATATGAAGCGTCTACGTTGTCTGGGGTAAATACCCGGAGTTTGTCATCTCACACCAGGAAAATTTAGGACACAGACACACACGAGGAGTTTAGGAGCGGAGGTTTAATAGGCAAGAGAAAGAGAAAGAAAAAGAAAGGAAAACAGCTCTCTCTCTAGTGAGAGAGAGGGGACTTCCGAGAGGAAAAGGCCCTCCCCACAAACGTTGATATTTTCTCTTTTAATTTTCACTCAATTAAAAGTATTTTCTAATTTTCCTTACTTTTTTGTTTAACCCATGGAGTATTTTAGAAACATGTTGTTTAATTTCCAACTCTTTGGTATTCTTAATCTATCTTTGAGTTATTAATTTTAATTTAATTCCATTTTGGCCAGAAAAAATACATTATTTGATTTTAAGTATTTTAAATATCTTAAAGTTTGTTTTACGGGCCAGAATACGGTCCATGTTGGTGAATATTCCATGTGCTCCTGAAAAGAACATAGTTTTTGCTCGTGTAGAGTGTTCTGTAAATGTCCAGTTTGATCAAGTTAGTTGGTAATGTTTTCAGGTCTTCTGTATCTTAGTTATTTTCTGTCTTCTTGTTCTATTGATTAATAACAGGAGTATTCATATCGATAACTGTAATTGTGGATTTGCCTATTTCTCTTTACAGTCCTATCAGTTTTTGTTTCATTTAATTTGAAGTTGTATTGTTAGATAGTAACACATTTAGGATTGCTATGTCTTCTTAATGAATTGATTCTTTGTAATTACATAGTGTTCCACTTTATTACTGGAAATATTTCTTGTTCTGAGGTTTGTTTTGTCGATATTGTATCAGTTCTGTCTTTCCTTTCTATTCTATCCTTTTTACTTAACTTTTCTCTTCGTATTTAAAGTGGGTACCTTGTAGATAGGATGTAGTTGGATCTTGTTTTAAACATTTGATCTCATAATTTATTCTTTTAATTAGTAAGCTTAGATTATTTCTACTTAGTTATTGATGTTTGGATTTAAATGTACCATCTTGCTAGTCTTCTGAATTTTGGGCCTTTTTTGTTTATTTTTTCCTCTTTATTTTATTTTCAGTTCCAGGATACACGTGCCAGATCTGCAGGTTTGTTACACAGGTAAACATGTTCCATGGTGGTTTGCTGCACCTATCAACCCATCACCTAGGTGTTAAGCCCAACATGCATTAGCTATTTATTCTGATACTCTCTCTTCCCCCGCCCCCCTGACAGGCTCCAGTGTGTATTCCCCTCCCTATGTCCATGTGTTCTCATATGTTCAGATCCCAATTACAAGTGAGAACATGCGGTGTTTGGTTTTCTGTTCTTGCGTTAGTTGCTGAGGATAATGGCTTCCAGCGCCATCCATGTACCTGCAAAAGACATGATCTCATTCTGTTTCATGGCTGCATAGTATTCCATGGTGTATATGTACCACATTTTGTTTAGTCTATCATTGATGGGCATTTGGGATGATTCCACATCTTTGCTATTGTGAATAATGCTACAGTGAACATACGCTTGCATGTTTATGGTAGAATGATTTATATTCCTTTGGGTATATCCCAAGTAATGGCATTGCTGGGTCAAATTTATAAGAAAAAGGCAACCCCATTAAAAAGTGGGCAAAGGACATGAACAGACACTTCTCAAAAGAAGACATTTATGTGGCCAACAAACGTATGGAAAAAAGCTCAACATCACTGGTCATTAGAGAAATGCAAATCAAAATCACAGTGAGATACCATCTCATGCCAGTCAGGATGGCTATTATTAAAAAGTCAAGAAACAACAGATGGTGGTGAGACTGTGGATTAATAGGAACACTTTTATGCTGTTGGTCAGAATGTGCATTAGTTCAACCATTGTGGAAGACAGTGTGGCGATTCCCCAAAGACCTAGAACCAGAAATTTTTTCTTCTTTTCTTGCCTTGTATTGAATTAATCATTTTCCATGATTCCACTTTATCTCTACTCTTAGCTACTTATTTACCTAGTGCTTGCTCTAGGCCATTGTTCCTAAACCTTGATACTATTGATATTTTGGGCCAGATAATTCATTGTTGTTGTTGGGTTGGGGGGGGTGGCTATCCTGTATGTATTGTAGGATTTTTAGCAGCATCCTTGGTGTCTGCCTACTAGATGAGAGTAGCAGCCACGCCCCATTCCCAATTGTGACAACCAAAAATGCCTTCAGACTTTGCTAAATGTTTTCATGGGGGTAGCAACGGTGGGTTGGGGCGGGAATTGCCCTTGGTTGAGAACTGCTACTCTAGAGTTTAAAAGATATATCTTTAACTTATCACATTCTTCCTTTAAATAATATTATGCCACTTTATATGTCATATAATAACTTTACAGCACTGTACTTCAATTTTGTATCTCCCCTTTTTATGCCATGTTGTTACACATTTTACTTCTATATGTTACTAACCCTACAATGCAGTCTTATTAATTTTTGCTTTAGTTGGTGAATAATCTACGGTGAACAAAGTAAGAAAAAGTAGTCTTTTATATTTATCTTCCAATGCTCTTCGTCTTTGCTACCCCCTCCCCCTCCTCCTCCTGCTCCTCCTCCTCTTCTTCCTCTTCTTCTTCTTCCTCCTTCTCCCCTCCCTTCCCCCTTTTTTGGTAGATCCAGATTTTTACCTGGTACTATACTTCTGCCTGAAGAACTGCCTTTAATATATTTTGTGTCTGCAGGGAGTGAATTATCTCAGGTATTATTAGTTCAAAAAAAGCCCTTTATTGTCGAAAAGTATTTTTGCTGGTTATTGAATTCTATACATAGAACTGAATTCTATGTTCAGCTTTTTTTTCTTTCAATCCTTGAAAGGTATATACTCTATTCTCTTTTGGCTTGCATACTTTCCTGATAAGAAGTCTTCTGTAATTTTAATCTTTGTTCTTTGTGATATTTTTTTCTCTCTCTAACTTTGCGATTTTTATCTTCATTTTCAGCAGTTTGACTATGATATATCCATGTATGTTTGGTGTGTGTGCTTTTGGTGTTTATTATGAAGGGTTCCTTGGAATTTTTTGGATCTCTGGTTCATTTTCCCAAAATGAACCCTTGGGTTCATTTTGGGAAAATTCTTGGCCATGATCTCTTCCATATTTTTTGTCTCCATTATTTTTTTTTCTTCTCCTGGGAGTAATAGACATTCTGATATAATTCCACAGCTCTTGAATACTCCAAACTGTATTTTTCCCCCACTCTTTTTAACTTTGGTTTCATTCTGGATTATTTTTATTGACCTGTATGCAAGTTCACTTGTTCTTTCTTCATCCCTGTCCAGGCTACTGTTGAGCCAGTCAAAGTGCTGCTGAACTTAACTAAGTTTGTTTGCCTGTGTGCAACGGAAAACTGTATTAGTCCATTTTCACGCTGCTGATAAAGACATACCCGAGACTGGGAAGAAAAAGAGATTTAATTGGACTTACAGTTCCACATGGCTGGGGAGGCCCCAGAATCATGGCGGGAGGTGAAAGGCACTTCTGAAATGGTGGTGGCAAGAGAAAATAAGGAAGAAGCAAAAGTGGAAACCCCTGATAAAACCCATCAGATCTCATGAGACTTATTCACTATCACGAGAATAGCACAGGAAAGACTGGCCCCCATAATTCAATTACTTCCCCCTGGGTCCCTCCCACAACATGGGGGAATTCTGGGAGATACAATTCAAGTTGAGATTTGGGTGGGGACACAGTCAAACAATATCAAAAGCGAAACACCGAAGCATCAGGTTTTTGTAGAGGGAAAAGTTTATTGCAAGGCCACCAAATTAGGAGACAGGAGAGTGGCTCAAATCTGTCTCCTGAGCTGGGGCATGTTTTATAGTCAGAGAGTAATGAAGCATGATCTAATTGGATCTTGCGATGAGGTGATACCTAGAGGTGTGATCTGATTGGATCCTGTCTTGGGGTAATGCCAGGGCTTGATCTCGTTGGATCCTGAATCCTGCTGTATGCTGTCTGCTTCTTAATTCAGTCCCTGTTCCTTAGTCTGAGCACTTAGGTTCCACTTGTGGTTGCATGCTTGGTTTATCTGGGCATGCTCAGGTTATGTGACATTCAACGTGGGGGTCCATGGCAACTGAAAAACAACTCGCAACTTTGTTACATAAAAGTTGAATCAGACTGGGGTAGTGCAGTTAGAAAAATAATTTTTCACCTCTGATATCTTTTTCTTTTTGTTTTTAGCTTTCATATTTTACTTTTTAAAGTTTCCATCTCTCTGCTAAAAGGACGAGACTAAGGTGATCCTCTTTTGCTGCTGCCTCTGTCAGGTTGTTTGTGTTGGAGGCTGAATCAGTGTAATCAAGAGTTGAGCTGATTTTGGGTTTTGTCACCGTCATTACCCTCTCAGTGCACCACAAGCTTCATATTTCTCCAGCAGTTGGCTGCTGGTCCCTTGTGTTTAGAGAATGGCATGTCGCTCTACAAGATTTTTCTCTGTGTTCCTGTACCATCCTCATCTTCCAACAGTCTTTGCACATCTGTGCATAGAAGTACCAATATTTCTCCTTATGTTGTTGCCCCTTTCCCAGTGATAGCCTGTTGTTTGTTATTCAGTGCCATGCTTGTGGTGCAGAGCAGGCTTCTCTTTTGTTCTGGTTCAGACTCAATTGTATTCAGGCCATTTGTCCTGGGCATCAACTGGGCTCTCTCAGCCTCAGCATTCCTGCCTTCTCTTTCTTGTGGCCTGCCCTTTCTTCCATGTTTTGTGGTAGGTCATGGACAGGAATATCCTTCTTTTCCCCTAGCGGTAGTAGAAGTTTCTTTGGTATTGGTGCAGGATTCGTTGCCTAACTCTTTTTCCTGCTCTGTACTCCACCACCTGGCAGAGGTTCTTTTGCCTCTACCCCTCTCCTAGCAACATTGTATCTTTCCCTGTAACATAACTGAGAGTGTTTGTCTATCTGTTCCCCAGAGGCAGAGGCATTTTGCTTCCATTCTGCCCTGAAGCAATGGATTTTTGCCAGGACCTTTGGTTAGAGGATTTTCTGTTCTTCTCCTAGTGGCTTGAGGCTTTTTTTCTGTGTTGGAGAACAGTTGGGGAATCAGGCTTCAGCCTTGTCCTAGACACCTCCTGCACACTTCCCCTGATGATGAGGGCTCTCTCTGGTTTCCTGGCCTACTATTATACTAATCTTTCTTGTGAGCACCTGGTCAAGGCACGTGGAAAATCTTGCAACTGAGAGAACTTTCCTTATGTCTGGGGTCCCCAGCTATTCTAAACTGTCATAATAGGTTACACTTGGTCTTTAAGAATTTGTTAAAATTTTAGCTGATTTTTTCTTATACTGTTGTATAGTGGCCACTTCTTTTTCTGTGACCTGCCAGAGGTCAGACAGTTTGTGTGTAGTCTTTCCTTGGAGGAGTTATCCCTCCAAGGAGAGGAATAAAATGTACTTGGAATTTTATTAAATTTACTTGGTTGCCTTGTGACCTCCACTCTTTGTTAGACCAAGAGAAGTTTTGATTCTATGGATATGATTTTTTTTTCTCATTAGGGTGGAAATGACATTCTTTGGTGGCTTTCTGCATTCTAAGCAGAAATGGAACTACTTAGAGTGCTTGACAATTTAAAAATTCTGTTTATGCTGATCCTCCTTTAATGTTTTCCCTTTTCTCTCATCTGCGTCTTGATCACTTCATCTTTTAGGTTTGAACCCAGGCTATTTCCTCCATGAAGCCTTTCCTGATTCCAATAAGTAGAATGGAACATTCTTGACTGTGTCTCTTGTAGAATGTGTTTTACTTTTTGCAGGCCCATTGAAACCCTCAGTGAGATTGGGCAGCTTTAAGATTTTGCAAGTTTATGAGCATAATGGTTGTTGAGTTTTTAGATAGGATCATAGAGTAAACTTGAGATAAAAGATAAAGTGACGTACAAGGAAGCTCATATTTATTAATAGAATACAAATTTGTGAAATCACACCACAGAGGTTTCTGTGCTGTTTGGTTTGTGTAGTTGTTGTTGCTTTTGAACTAAATTATTGTCAGAAATAAGACTTAAATTCATAAAATCTAATTTTTGGAAAATAGGGGATTCGTTACACAAACTAGTATATGTTTATGCAATGGAATATTGTAGAGCTGTAAAAGCAATAAAGAAACATTTCCTAACTTGGATATCCAGGACATACTGCTGAATAAAAAGTAAGATGCAAAACTGAACATTTTTTGTAAGAAGGCAGGAGGAATAAGACTGTATTTGTAGGTAAATGTCTTTGTGTAAAGCATTGCTGGAAGAATATATAAGAAACTAATAAAAGTGGTAACCTACAGTAAGCAAGGGCAAAATGACCTGCATGTGGATGATGTGGGAATGAGACTTCTTAGATATAGGTTTCCTTTTATATCATTTTGATTTTTAAATCATGAATATAGCATGTATTCAAAAAATGAAAACCAATAGACATAACTATGTAGATATTGAAAGATAGGAAGATCTGAAAAATTCTTCAGAGCGATAAAAAATGTTAGTCTATGAAACAAAAATTGGATGTGAGATGCTTTTATTTTACATAAGCCAGCTTTCACCAATGAGAGAGTGAATACAAAGTTTGGAAAATTGTGAAGGACAAGGTTTCATGAATCTGGCTCCAGATAGAGAAATATGCAAAAAGGTAGCTTTCTAGCACAATTAGGAAGGTTTTGGTTTTAGAAGCAGTAGTAGTATGGATGTTCACTCAAAGTAGAAAGGAGCACTTTGTATAGATAAAAACTATAACAGAAGTACACAGTACTTGGAGTGGGCAAGGCAGCCATTTCTTACTCATGAAATCACCAGGAATACCCTTGGAATCTGATAAGATGTGTTTATTGTCAGAAAAAAATAGATGAAAATACCAAGAATATTCTTATCACAAATTAAAACCTACAAAGAAACAATAATTACTTAAATAGATTATAGCTCAGAGACCAACCTTATGGGCAAACAAAGGAAGTATAAAAGAAGAAACTTTGTAAACCAAGGGATGATGAGAATACCTTAATGTTGCTAGGAAAAACTGGTTGGTAATTTGAAATGCAGGTCAGTTTAGAGCCAAATCTCACTCTATACATTATATGAAATGAAATATTGAGAAGATTAGTCCATAGAAAAATGAAAATCAGAGCATTATCTACTATTATTAAAGGGGGAGAAATTTCAAAGCAGAGAAATAATAAAAGATATGAAAAAGTCAATGATGGGCAAATCCATCCACCTGAAAATAAAAACTTCTGTATTAAGGGCCAGTGGTAAGACTGAGAACATGTTAAAAGTAAGCAAGAGAAATAGTACAGGTTGAGCAACCCAAATTTGAAAATCTGAAATCTGAAATGCTTCACATTACAAAACTTTTTGAATGCTGACATGAGCTCAAAGGAGCATTTTGAATTTCAGATTTTTGGATTTCACATTCTCAACTAGTAAGTGTAATGCAAATATCCCCAAATCCAAAAGAATCTGCAGTCTGAAACACTTCTGGTCCCAAGCATTTTGGATAAGGGATACTCAATCTGTATTTTCACAATATAAACAATTTACACAAATGGGTAAGGAAAACATGAAGAAACCTCGATTCCATTCCACCCCTAGTAGGGCTGGAAGAGGTAGAGTGGCAAAAGTTTGGGAAAAAAGGCAGTGTCAATTATGGGAGAAGGACCTGATTAATGGTGCATTAAGGGTTGCTGCACAGCATTCGGAGTCTAGCTGAATTTTGAGACCATAATTTTATAGCAGGATCAATTCACATGGTTGTGTGATTTTTCTCTAGCAGGTGATTGGATTAGGAGTTTGAGGGTGGTGAAGCTGAAGCAAGAAATAGCATACTATGTGGATTTATAGTTGGGGAGATGACCAAGATTTTGAAACTGGAGATAACAAGCGACTAGAATGGAGAAAGAGCAGGTAGAGTGCATCCAAGGGAATGAGTCTGGACTCAGGTTAGAAAAAATAGAGTGAGATATTGAATGACAAATTGAAGAAGAGGGTTATACAGCCAGATGGGACATCACAGGGAAGGAAGGAAATTGCTTGGGAGGGTCTGGAAGTGTCACTCTGGAGAATTTTGTCTTTGCTGCCTTATCCTTCGCTCTAAAGCATTATTTTCGAAAGCCAGATTTAGCCCAGTGGTTGAAAGAGTTGGTCAGTGATGGTCAGTGATGAGAGTTGGCCAGTGAGTGGTCAGAGTTGGTCATCATTCTCAGTGATGAGAATGTAGAGATGATTTGTTTTACTTACATAAGAGGGATTTCCAGAGGTCCTTGTGGAAAAGGTTAGAAGCAAGGGCAGCAGTGGGAGACCAAATGGAGTAGATGAGAAAGCATAACTGGGGGCATGTAAATAGGACAGAGGGTAGTTGGCCAGAATGGCTTGTGTTTTGAATAAAGCCCAAGAGTGATAGGCGTAGGAGTCACAGGTAGAAGTAACTAGCCCCACATTTCTGACCCGTGGTATAATGACCGTCTCTGGAGCCTGATCCACTGCCTGTCTTTGTGATTGTAAAGAAGATGTTAGTAAAAAGCTTAACCCTGGGTGGTAAAGCCTAAATTAGTTTGGCCTTAAATAGCAAAAGCCAGTAAATCTCTCTCTTTTTTTTTTTTTGAGACAAGATCTCACTCTTTCACCCAGGTTGGAGTACAGTGGCATGATCCTGGCTCACTGCAGTCTCAACCTCTTGGGCTCAAGCCATTCTCCTACCTCAGCCTCCCGAGTAGCTGGGACTACAGGTGGATGCCACCAAGCCCAGCTAATTTTTGTAATTTTTGTAGAAACAGAGTTTTGTCATGTTGCCCAGGCTGGTCTTGAACTCCTGAGCTCGAGCAATCTGCCCACCTTGGCCTCCCAAAGTGCTGGGATTACAAGCATGATCTACTGTACCATTAATTTAGTAAAATCTAATTTGTAATATCCCACTTCCAGTGGCCTAGGACGGAATAATAGCCATGATATCAGGTGCTTCTTTATTACAGAGTTCTTCTGCTAGGAACCCTGTTTCCTTTTACTGTTCCACTTTACCTGAAACTGGATACTCAGGCTACTGCTGCTGGGGTGACTTCAGCAACTCCCCTGGAATACCAAGGCAAGCCCCAATTGATTTCATGCCTCCTTTGGGGATCTGAGCTTTTAAAAGAGCCAGCAACTACCTTTTGTCAACTTGATATATTTATCTATTATACCTTTAATATTTAAATTAATTTTTAAAAACTTGTTAGTAGTGACAAGAATGAGAATTGACATTTCTTGAATAACTAAAGCATCTGTGTAAGAATCTTTGTATGCTTACAAACAGTGGTGTGTCACACTACCCAAAATCTGTAATGTTTTCAATGGCCCAATTGTGTCTTCTCTCTCCTGCTTTAGATCTATCCATACTAATGGAAATGTAACTGGAACTGACTCTGATGATAAAATCAAGGACCATCAAGCAAGATCATGCAGTAGGCAACTTTGCTTCCAAAAGAAGTTACCAACATTTAGAATTTCTACTTATTCTGAGGTATTTGAGACACAATTTTACTTTAGTTTTGACTCCTTAGTAGTCATTTTCTAGTGTTGATTTCTAGATATAGGTTTGGTGAGTTTAAAAGTACTTATATGTTAGAATGCTTAGCTCTTAGAGAAGAGTTCACTTCCCTCCTTTCCCACTATACTCCCAAAGAAACCAACTGAGAAAAGATCCAGATTTTTTTTCCAAAAGCCTGCAGTACTCAGTATTCCAATGTGGTCTCACAACCAAGTACTAACCAGGCCCGACTGTGCTTTGCTTTTGAGATCAGGTGTGTTCAGGGTGGTATGGCTGTAGACAAGATTTTAAAGGGATATATTTATTAAAATTAGGAAAGCATGTCAATTATAAGAGATAAATTAAGTGTAGATTAAGTCTCAGTAACTATATTAGAAGAACTGGAATAAATAAATGTCAATTTAATAATTATTTTATTTACATTATGACCCCTGAGAAAAGGAACTGAATGCAGCACTCTGAGTCCACCTGCAAGATGTCAGAGACCTTACTGATCATCCTTTAGATGGTTTGAAACCTTTCTTGCCTTTCCTCCTAAATTTATTGTTAAGGATTTTCTATTCACCAGTATGTGTCACTGTTACTCCCCATAAGCTGTCCCTGTAGGACCTTTGGGATCTAATGAATTACTTGGGCCAGAAAACCAAGATATTTAACTAAAGAATCAGGTGACACTTCCAAAACATGGGGTGGATCCCCACTTGAAAGACTACATAAGACAAATAAAACAAAAAAGATATATAATGTCAACAGAAAGCAAAAACAAAAATAGTTCTGTTTTCACATGAATTCCAAACAGGTAGAGTGAGTTAGGTGTTTATTTAAAAACAAAATATTTTTTATTTTAATTATATTTTTCCAAATAGGCAGAAAGTATGCTAAGTATTTTAGGGGACAGGTCAGAGTTTGTTGATTTCTCTGAATATGTTACAGAGTTTTGTAAATTAATATTTTGCTAGAATATAGAGAAAGTAAAACCTGAGAAAAATGTAAATATGTATCACTTATTACTAGGATTCTTAACTTTGTTCTGTTTTAGAAGAAGACTATGTAAAGCATAAATTCCAAAAATAATAAGAATTCATGATATTGGGAATCCTAATGTCATGGGATCCTTGGGGTGTCCTTTCACTGGCCAGAAACTTCTGTGGCTGGTGGCGCCTTTGCCTGAGTTTTGCTTGGGCCCAGTGGGCCCACTCAGCCTGGCAGGCTGTGTGCAGCTCACACTACTGGCCTGGATCCCATGCCTGCCAAGGGCGAGCGGAGCAGCAGGGGGTGTGTGAGCAAGCGAGTGTGGGGTCTGGCCACTGTGCACAGCCAGGCACGCTGGCTGTGGCGGGGCAGGCAGCTCCAGGCATCAGCACGGGCGCTCACTCCCTGCAAGCTGTGTCTGGACTAGGTGTATCACAAGCAGCTTCCCTGGCTGGCACCAGGGAATGCAGTGGCCCTCAGAAGCTTGGAGATGCCAGGAACTGCAGAGCTCCAAAGAGGGTGTCACTGCCCTGGCTCAAGGAACTCCTAGGTCTGGGCTTCCTGAAGGCTGCAGCTCTTCTCTCCTCTTCTCACCCACAACGTGGCAAGCAAGGAGCATGTTTCAGTCCTGTTTGTGTTACAACTTTTTCAATCCTGCCATTTGATATGTCCCGAGTTCTTGTCCCACACCCAGGAAGAATAAGGTACACGGGTAAATGGAGGGTGAGCAAAGGGAACAGGAGCTTTATTGAGCTATAGAACACCTCAGAGGAGACTTGCAATAGGTAGCTCCTTTCTGCAGCCAGGGTGTCCCGATGAGTGCTCAGCTTTCAGCAGAGAGGAGACCATGGAGTTGGAGTGGGTAGCTCCTCTCCGCAGCTGGTCATCCCATCCTCTCCTCAGCTTTCAGCAGAGAGGAGACCCTGGAGTGGGCAGCTCTTCTCCACAACTGGTAGTTCCATTGTGTGCTCAGCTTTCAGCAGAGAGGAGACCCTGGAGTGGGTAGCTCCTCTCCACAGCTGGTCATCCTATCCTCTCCTCGAATTTGGCTGAATCCAGGGTTTTTATGGGCTTCCCAGGGGCTGAAGTGCATGCTGATTGGTTCATGAGTGGGCCCAGAAAAAGCACTGTAAGTTTCCATTCCAGTCCACAGGACTGGCAGCTTGGCCCCAGGCTTCAAGCCTTCTCCGGTTTGAAGGTGAGGCTTCACCAGGGACCTGCCCCTTTCTGCCCAGAAGTCTATCTGCCTCCTACCATTGTTCATGGTGCCCAGGCTGTTCCTGCTGAGGGGCACCTGCAGGCCAGCATCGAGTCTCTCCTTGTCCTCTCTCACCCGTGCTCGTTGGCACCCACCCAGCTGGGTTGCAACAGTGCCCGGCCTTGGCCTCAACTTTGCTCCGAGATTGGAGCAGGCGCTGGGAGCAGGAAGAGACCAGGCAGTGGGAGTAGGCACTTCTGAGCCTGCAGGGGCATGGGGGGCCTTCCTGGGTCCCTAAGAGTGCAGAGAAGTCTGGGTCCACAGTGGTGGATGGGCAGTTGCAGCTGCACCCAGGAGGGCGGGCCTTCTGCCTGCTCCCAGCCCCTGCTGGCTCAGTGGAGCACACAGCCCTTCCTACACTTACCCCACTGCAGCTGCTCTAGATGGGCCGCTGCTGCCATCACTAAGACTGCCTCAGCTACAATAAATGGATTATCTCCTGAAAGGGGTTAGTGTAATTGAGCAATTTTTGCTGAAGAAAAATTATCTCAAATCAAGTAGCAGATGAAAAAGAGGTTACTTTGATGATAAGTTTTAAAACGTCCCTGGCAATTAGTAGATGTATTGTACTTTTCTTTGTTTTCTTGTTGGCGTTTGAACTCAAATAGTAATGATGATTAAATATATAGTTCGTCTTAGTACCAGAGCCATTTTACTTGTTTTTTTAGGTATATCTTTTCTTCTTACTTTCACTTAGGAACATTAGTGGAATGCCCAAGCTTTGTAAAGAATGAGTCTAGATATGGGGAAGAATATAAATTATTCTGTAACTTCATTATAAATGGAATTGAAGATGTCTTTTATTCAGAATGGTTACTCTTGGGCTAGGAAGACTAG
Source organism: Homo sapiens (assembly GCF_000001405.40). Lineage (NCBI taxonomy): Eukaryota > Metazoa > Chordata > Mammalia > Primates > Hominidae > Homo > Homo sapiens. The sequence goes on from NC_000002.12 coordinate 24,567,525, forward strand.
ATACACCCATCTGAAGCCATTTATGTGCAGTCATAGACTGTGTACATCAAGTCAAAATCTAGAATCCCTTTCTAAGTAATATACTTAAGTTCTATATTCAGACCTTAACAAAAGTAAAGATTAGGGAATAGGAAGTTCTCATCAATTGAAATTGCTAATTGGTTGTATAAAAGTGCCATATAGCCTAAATTAGGTTGCTTAAATTTTTAAATTAGGAATTTCTTGTTTATCAATTTCTTTTTTTAAGACAGTCTCATTTTGTTGCCCAGGCTAGAGTGTGTGGTGGCATGATCTTGGCTCACTGCAACCTCCGCCTCCTGGGTTCAAGCAATTCTCCTCCTCCCCAGTAGCTGGGATTACAGGTGTGCACAACCACACCTGGCTAATTTTTGTATTTTTAGTAGAGACGGAGTTTCACCATATTGGCCAGGCTGGTCTTGAACTCCTGACCTCAAGTGATCTGCCCACCTTGGCCTCCCGAAGTGCTGGGATTACAGGCATGAGCCACTGCACCTGGCCATTTATCAATTTCTTATATCTCCTCACTGTTTTTCAAATGTTCACAGAGTGATATCCCCTATTCATATTTGTCATTTTCCATTTTGAAAATGAAGAAAAGTGAAAAATCTCACAAATTTGTGCTTGGAAGAGTTTTACATTTGAACTTCAGATTTAAAGAATATGGGATTTTGTTGTTTTGGGGGATAAGAGCAAAATCAATACTTGAGACGGGAAGTTAAGGCCCTAGAACATTTGCAAAGTTATATGTCCTGGTTTACAGTTTACATTAAGTTGAAATGGTACCTTTTTAAAATGTTTTGTCTGGACTCAGTAAAACATTTGAAAGCAAATTTTGGCCAGTTATATTAAGGGAATGGATATTCCCTGCTACAGTTTTTTTTCTGTGCTGTGATGGAAAGAGCAGAAGCTTTACTCTCATGCTACCTTGGGAGAATTGAAGTAATATTTCTTAGTTTCCTTTTCTGTAAGAATTAATTTTTAGAGGTGATGAAGAATGAAATGTGTGTGAAATAATGAAAAATAATGCTTTTTAGTGTGAAATTAATGAATGTTGTTGCTAAGACAGAGAGGTCCACATTACTGTATCATTCAGAGGTATCTTTTTCATAGGAAAAAGCAGGTCTACTCACTACTATTGAGAAGCTTGTAAAACCAGTTTCAAAGTTAATAGCAAATATTATGCTTGCAGAGAAAGTAAAATGAGCTTTTGGCACAAATTCTTTATCAAAGACATACCATCTGGAAAAGCAATTACTGTCATGTACCCATGCCAGTATTTTGTTTTTCAGCTGGATGAAAGCACTGATGTACAGAGGATATACTAGTGCTTGATACAGGTGTGTTACTGTTTATCACTGAAAAATCACTATAGCAGAAGAGTTTTATGTTTTGTTATTGGTCTGTTGTTTTTTTAAGCCATTATAGCCTAGAAAAGCTTCTTTGTTTCCTTCTGATCAAAGCACCAACAACTATAGCTGCAGGAAATGGTCTACTTGCTTTTTAAGTAAAAGAAGTTGCAGCAGGATATCAATTCATATCCCACTTTTTTCAGAGAGGAGAATTGGCATTTAGTAATGTGACTTTTTGTCATGATTTAGTGTTGAAGAAAATAGTAAAACTTGTGGATGTAAGCAGTTTTGGCCACTAGAGCCACCTCTTTTCAGAGTTTTATGACAAAATAGCAGCAATAGTATTTTGCTTTTTCACAGTGATATGTTAGCTGTATAGGAGGAAAGGGCTTACATGTTTGTTAATTAGTTTTTTAGTAAAATGAGATAAAGATATACTTGCTACTGATATTGTATGATTTCAAGGGACATAACTTACCTAGTTATGAAATACCTGTGGTATTTCAAATAGTCTGAACTTACAACTTTATATTCATGATATCATGAATTTCAATGTTAAGGATGAAATATGAGGATTTTGTAAAAGTCTGAATTACGGTGCAAAATAATTCAACCTCTGAGAGTTTGACCGTATCCTCAAACTTGTTGGTTTTATTAATTTTTTTTTTTTTTTTTTTTTTTTTTTACTGAATTTGGGCTAGGTACGGTAGCTCAGGCCTGTAATCCTAGCATTTTGGGAGGCCTAGGTGAGTGGATCACAAGGTCAGGAGTTCAAGACCAACCTGGCCAATGTGGTGAAACCACGTCTCTACTAAAAATACAAAAATTAGCTGGGTGCAGTGGCAGGCGCCCGTAATCCCAGCTACTTGGGAGGCCGAGGCAGGAGAATCGCTTGAACCCTGGGGGCGGAGGTTGCAGTGAGCCAAGATCGCGCCACTGCACTCCAGTCTGGGCAACAGAGTGATACTCCGTCTGAAAAAAAAAAAAGAAAAAAAAAGAATTTGTATTATACATGTCTAAAAACCACATCCAAATTTTGAAATAGAACATGGAAAAATACTTCCCAGAGTCAAAATGCAAGCAGAAAGTAGATTAGGAGTCCTTTTTTCAATTTCTCAAGTTGAAGCACTTAATTTCCAGCTTTAAGTGGTATATACTTTTTTTTTTTTTTTTTTTTAGCATTCAAAGGAATGCTGAAATTAAAAATCAGTGAGAAGTCTTGCTATATAATTTCTGGGTCCACGTTCAATCATAATATCCAGGCTGTATAATGCCACTGATTTATGATTTATAATTAGAGATTTTTATTTACTAAAAATAAAGAACAAGAAAGAAACCAGCTGAATATGAAAATTGGTTTATGGTTCAATCTGATTCCAGATGTGGGTGTTTGAACATCTTGCAGTGAAGTTATCAAACACTAATAGGGTTGTTACAACTCAGGTGCTTAATTGAATGGGCTCTGGTTGGCCAAAGAAGATGAGACAATCTGAGCATCAGTAAGCATTAACTGCAATATAATGAATCATATCAAATATATTTAAATCCGTGAGTTCATAATGATACTTCAAGAACTCATTAGTTTTCTTCAGAGTATGCTAAGGAGCCAACTATGCTTTAGAGCAACCAAATAGTTGCTGAGAGGAAGTTTCTTTTCTCAGATAGAATAAAAACATCACCATTTTCTAATGAATTCCTGAACCTAAGCAAAGATCATGAATGGCTGCTAACTGCACGGGCAGAAACGGACATTAGCTTTCTCTTAATGAAAGTTCACAGTGCTGCCCATGAAGTATTCTTGCCAAAAAAGTTGAACCCGAATGTGATCAAGTCTCTAGCTCTACCAGTTTACAGGAAACACAGAAGACAGAGAAACACATTAAGTGATACCATGTGAATGCAGTTAGCAAAATATAGGTTATGGGGAACTCTTAGAGACATATGTCTTGTTTTTCAACGAGCAAATTGTAGGGAGAAAAAAGAGAAACGGAGGAGGAAACCGTAGATTAACAGCAGTGCCTGGACTTTATTTGAGTCTAAATTTTAATAAACATTTATGAAATAGGGAAATTTTAACACTGACAAGATATTTGATATTAAAGAATTATTGTTAATTTTTAGGTGAGATGATAGTATGTAGTTATGTATTTTTTAAAAGCCCTTACCTTTTAGCGATACATAATGAAATATTGATGTAACGAAAGATATGCCTGGGCTCCTGCTTCCTTACTATCTCGAGTACAGGGGAGGTTGTGGGTGAGGATTAAGTAAGATTGGCCATTAGTTGATCGTGCAACTAGACACTTGTGATTTGGGGGACAGTGCGTGAGGGGGTGGGAGTAATTCTTGATAATATTCCCTAAACTTTTTGGAAAAATTCCATAGGAAAAAGGTCCAAAAATACAGTTGAATTATGTATATTTAGCAACCTGCTCAGTTATATTTCTGATAATTTCTTGAGTCTGCTGAGTGTACTATATAGAAAATCCTATTGCCTGCAAGGGACAGTTTTACTGTATAGTGCTTACTGTTTACCAGGCTCTCTTCTCAGCACTTTATACATATTTACCCATTAGATCCTCACAAGAATGCCTGTGAAGTAGACATTAACTTGCAAAGGTTACCCAGGTGCTATGTTTTAGAGCTGGGATTTGTATCCAGGCATTCTAGCCCTAGAGTCTATGCATCTCTAGTTTTTGTATCTCTCTTTATAACTTTTTATTTTTAATCCCTCTACTCCAGTCTTTCTTTTGTTTCTCTTAGTGCGCTGGCCAAGGAGTTCACCTTTTAAAGACCAGTTTTTATGTATAATTTTGATTTTGTAAGTTATCTTAATACATAGGGAATCCAGAGTCCAGCTGACTTTGCTCCTTTACAAATACAAGGTACTTAGTAAGGGGCTAGAATTAGCTTACTGTGTATCCAGAAACCAAAGGATCAAGTGTATTATAACAGTGTTCAGTATTTTTTATTATATTTCTCTCCTGATCTGTAAGCAGTTCATTCATGGCTCATTTTACTTTTGATTACTTGATTTTATTGGTATTACTTGCTGAATTTCTTTGTGATACTTAGATAAAATTACTCCTTCCTCCCCTTAACTCCTACACGTTAGGTAATTACCCCCTGCTTGACTTTACATAGATTACATGAGATAAGCAAAGCACTTAGTACACAGTTTAGCACATAATATGTATCTAGTAAATACGCTTTTTGGTTTAAGAGACAGCCACTTCATAATTTTGTTCAAAAATTGTTCTTTACTCTTTAGGTAACTTTTGAAATGGGGAGGGAAGAATATGGCTTAGTCACTTTAAGAAGTCCTAGGCCTGGGACAGGTGGGTAAAACTTGATAATGTGTTAGGGTGGTTTAATGAGTAATCTCTGTGTTCTCTGCAAGGAACTTTTTAATGATAGGCTCTGAGTTTGAGAAAGATTACTGACTTGAGTTGGTTTCCAAAAGAATACTTGTTTATTGGGGGTGAAGTGGGAACAATTTAGGGAAAATGTGACCTGTCCCAACTTCTTGAGTGTTTTGGTTCCTCTTTAGCCAATTGCAAAGGACGTTATGACATAGTAGGATACTACAATTCATGAAAGGAGGCACATAGCCTCTAGTAAGAAAGAAAACTTTTGATTTCATTCATATGAGAGAAGGCTCACAATTACAGATAACTTTTTCGTGAAGATTGTGGAAGGTGACTCTGAAGACCTGGGATAGCTAGTTAAAAGTTATGGTATTTTTCTGTACTCCATCACCTCCCTCTCTCCACCCGAGCTGCACCTGCTATTTTACATAGGAGTGTACTGAAGCAACCTTTTAACATATCTTTAATTTTATTTTTGAAAATGATGTTAAAGTATTTGGAAACTGAAGACTGTGGCCACACAAAGTATCTTTTATTTTCCAAAGGCCAGTTATTATTATTGAGTGGCATAGCTATTGAAATTGCATCACCAATTACTTGACTGTGTTAAAGAAAGGGATTTGCTTTTGGGGGGCCCGTAGGTTATTGATAAGAGATAAAACATATTTTTTTGAATAACAAATGTGTATGACAAACCCACTCTCGTATCTAATCATGAAATGAAATGCTTTCCAATGAAATCTGGATGCTCTGGAAACCAAAAGGTGATATATAAGAGGAAGCATAGTTGAGAGGTACTCAATTTAACTTTTGTTATCAGTTACTTGGTGAAGGTATTGAAATGTTTATTGCTTTGAAGATGATCTTAAATGAGGAGGCATAGTTAATGTGGTCTATATAGAATGTGAGATGAAGTGAATTTAAGAGAAAAGAAAGCAGATATGAGAAAAACAAAAATGTAAGAAAATAGCTAATATTTAATGATTGCTGCGTATCAAGTGCTGTGATAGATACTTTATACATATTTTCAGATACTGTCCCAATAACCATTTAGGTGTAAGTTACTAAATAGCTATTAAAGTTTTTGAGAATTTTTAACATTTCTTGAAATTAGAAATTCCTTACATTATTAAGAAACACTCTTTGGTTGACCTTTGCAAGCCCAGCAAACCCAGAGTTAGATAAAGGTACAAAATCGAGAATCTCTGTCCTTACTCTTCATATTGTATGGATGCATTTAATGCTAGTAAAAATTGTAAGCCTGAATAAATGTAGTGTAAAACCTGCATTGATGATTTGGGGTTTATTTAGTTATTTATGAAGCTTATATCTAAATTTGGGATTAAGTTGATTTTTCCAGTTTTCCAGTCAATGCAACATTTTAAAAAATCAATTTTAGATTAAACCACAAAGGAAAATCTCAGTAAATTCCAGAAAAGCTGAAACTACATATGTCCATTCTCTCTGACTGCAGCAGAAATTTAAAATATACAACTTTAACCATTTGGACAAATCAAACAAAAAAATTGCTTAAATAAATACCGGGTCAAACAGGAGATCAAATGTACAATAAGTGGTCATTTAGCACCTGAAATGAGATTCAGGCTAAGACTCATACTGTGCTTAGAAGTAGATTAATAGTCTTTGTTAATGAATGAAATAAATGTACTAAGCACTAAACCTTAGAATTTAGTAAAACAAACGGACTCAACAAAATAAATGCCTAGGAGAAAGGAAAGAAATTAATAAGATAAAAGCAGAAATAGGTGAATTAAAAAACAGAAACCACAGAAATGAAAAATCTAAAAGCTACTTCTTAGGGTTGAAAAACAAAATAGAAAAATATCTGACAAATCTTACAAAGGAAAAGATGGAAAACCAAAATTAAGTTTGTAAAGCAGATATAAGAATAGAAAAGATGTTTAAAAAATAGTAAGCGAATACTATTTATTAACTCTAAGCTGATTTATTTGAAATGAATTATGGAACACCCAAGCTGATTTAAGAAAAGTTGGTCTGGAGCTACATCCAGCTAGCTCCAGAACCAATTTTTGCCAGTTAATTCTTTTTAGTTTTCAAGGAACATATAATTCCTATGGTGAGAACTATTTTAGAGATTATAGAAAAGATGGAAATATGCCCAATTAATATTATAAAATCAGTATGACTTTTTTAATGGTTCAGTGCAGTAAAACTCTTTTGGGGGAGGTTACTGCTTTTTTTTAGTTTCTATTGTAAGCACAGATTTTTCTTGAAATTAAAACAATTGAGAAAAGAAAAAACAACCAGAAACTCAAAACTTAAAGATATTGTTTATATTTATTAACGTATTTACCATTGCTGGCACTCTCCTTTGTGTAGATCAAAATTTGGACCTGATAATCTTTTTCTTCTGCCTAAAAATCATTTCTTTAAGTGCAAAATCTGCTGCTAATGGATTTTTCTCAGCTGTTGTCTGAAAACATTTCCACCTTCATTTTGAAATATATTTTAGTAGGGTACAGAATTTGAGGTTGACAGGTTCCCCCCCTTCCAATCTTGCGCCATTGTTTTCTTATTTGTATAATTTCTGATGAGAAGTTTGCTCTCATGCATACCTTTGTTTTTCTGTACACAATCTTTTTTCCTCTTCTGGCAGTCTTTAACATTTCTTTCCCCCCAATCACTGGTTTTCAACAATTTGATTATGATAATTGTCGGTGTGATTTTCTTTGTTTATCCTGCTTGGATTTTGTTGAGCCTCTTATGAATCTGTAAGTTTCTGGTTTTGATAGCATTTGAAAAAATTATGCTCATTATTTCTTCAAGTATGTTTTTTATCTTTTTTTTTCCTCTGTTTTTTGGACCTCAGTTACATTGATCTTAGCTTGTTTGTGTGTTGCTGCAAATCAGTGGTATTCGCTTTCATTATTTTTGTATTTTTCTCCTTTGTGCTTCATTTTGGAAATCTTCTATTGCTATATCTTTAAGTTAACTAAGTGTTAAATCTGCTGTCCTATGCAGTGTATTTTTCATTTCAGATTTTGTATTTTTAATTTCTAGAAGCTCCAATTGGGCCTAAAAACAGTCTTGCATTTCTGTGTTCAACACTTCCATATCTTTTTCTGCTTTCTTGAATGTATTGAGAATATGTATAACTCTTTTGGCATCTCTGTTTGCTAAGTTCTCTGTCAGTTCTGGGTCTGTTTTTATTGATATTCTCCTGGTTATAGGTCATATTTACATGTCTGGTAAATTTTGATTGTCAGACATTGTAAATTTCACGTTACTGGATGCTAGGTTTTGTGATAAAGAGGCCATTTTTTTTCTTTTTCTTTTTTTTTTTTTTTGAGACAGAGTCTCGCTCTGTCACCCAGGCTGGCATGCAGTGGTGCAATCTTGGCTCACTGCAACCTCCACCTCCCGGGTTCACGCCATTCTCCTGCCTCAGCCTCCTGAGTAGCTGGGACTACAGGTGCCTGCCACCATGCTCAGCTAATTTTTTGTATTTTTAGTAGAGACGGGGTTTCACTGTGTTAGCCAGGATGGTCTCGATCTCCTGACCTCATGATCCGCCCACCTGGGCCTCCCAAAGTGCTGGGATTACAGGTGTGAGCCACCGCTCTCGGCCGAAGAGGCCATTCTTTTAAGTAATGTTGGTCTAAGTTTTGGCATGCAGTTAAATTTTTTTTGATGCCCTTTAAGACTTGTTTTGTTTTAAGGAGGCTTTGTTAGGGTGAGTCTGGAGCAGTGAGTAGACTTTTCTCCTAGAGCTAATTTAGAAGTTGATACCCTTCTGAGGACTTTACATGATACTTCATGGATTGGGAGGTCTTTTTACTCTACCCTATTGGAATACAAACTATTCATAGCCTTGTGTGAGAGTTTCAGAAATTATTTGGCCTTTGTTTTTTTTTTTTTGTTTTTTGTTTTTTTTTTTTTTTTTTTTTGTTTGCTAGTCCTTTCTCCAACCTCAGGTGGTTTCCTTCCACACAGGACATATCAGCACTCTCCTAACAGCTTGTGGGAACTCCTTTGCATGTCTCCAAGGCACTGTCTCTGTATGTAGTTTCTTTCTGTTAGGCTAGTCCACAAATTCTGGCTGCCTTGGCCCCACTAAGTGTCAATCTTTGTGACCTCAACTCTTTGAGACTGTAAGGTTCTGTTTAAGCCCCATCTCCCTTCTTTACACTACATCCTGTAAATTGCTTCAAGGGTGTGAGGTCAGGCAAATGTAGGACTCACATCATTTTTTCATCTTTTCTCAGGAATCCCACTCCTGCTCTGACTGGTATCTAATATCTAAAAGCCATTGTTTCATCTGTTTTATCCAGTTTTCTGGTAGTATAAACTGGGACAACAAATCTAATCTCTGTTACTCCATCATGGCTATTTGTGGAAATTCTTGAGTAACTTCTCCTCCTCCTTTTTCTGTGGATTAAGATGTGGGCCTAAGTTAAAGAAGTTAAGAAACAAGTTGGTTTGATCTCAGTGTTTCAGGTGTTTGGCTTGTCAGTAACTGAGGCAGAAGAGTCCCTAGTTGTCTGTGGTCCAAACTCTTTGATGATGATAAACAGATGATTTCACTTCATGCATTCTCCTCTCAGTTTCAGTGTCGGGTACCTACTGCAGTAGTAGGGTAGTTGATCAAGAATTATGGTATTCTGAGTCTTGGTCAGTTGCCACATAGTTTAAATAAGTTCTTAGTACTTTTAACTGAATTAAGACCCATACTTATTTGCTTTTTCTCAGCTATTTCTGTTTGCTGGTATTTACTTTTAATTTTATGAGTTTTTTCTTTGTTTCTGTTAGTTGCTAGTTTATCTAACTGGTTGTCATTTTTCAGCTGGATTATATTTTCTTTATATATTTTGTATTTTTCTGCATCACAGTAATGTTTAGGCTCTTCAAAGTGTTTGACCTTCATGCATTATATCTTTAGTTTTGTTATCTGTTTTTCTAATCTTGCTTTTCTCTACTCAAATGAATGAGTGAATAAATTAGTAATCGAATAAATGTAGACACATATACTCACACACAAAGTGCATTTTCTCAATTCAAACACTATTAATTGTGACATATGCCACAGATTTAATATATTTTCATGAAAAAAGAAACATTAAGTTTATTTTTTAAATCCTTAAAGGTTTACTGACAGAAGTATACATTTATCCATATAACTTCTACCTCATCTTTTTGGGAATCATAAGATTGAGTGTAATCGTCTTCCAAATTCTGACATGCTGCTTTTCCTTACCTGTGCTTGCTTTCTTGGTCTCTTTACACATTATGATTGCCAGTATAATTTTGAGTCATATGGAAATGTGTAGAATTTAACTGCTTTTCTTTTTGGTTGAACTCATGGTTTCAGTTTTTTTATAGATAAGCCGTGAATTAAATAACTTCCTTTTTGAGTCAGCTGGAAACTTTTGACAGATTGATATCCAGCACTTGGGTGATAGTACTTTGTAAAATGCAAATTAGTCACACCAGTGTCTTCCAGCTCTGATAATTCTATGATCTGTTTTGAGAGATTGTGCAGTTTTTACTGCCTTTAATTGCCCTTGCTTGGCTTGCAACAGACAACTTTTGCATTACAATAGCTTTTTATTTCAGTGCTTTGACACGGTTCAGTCTCTCTGAAAACATTTTCAAGCAAGTTATGCTTTCAAATTTAAGTTAAAATTCAACCTTATCTGAGTTTACCTGTGCAGTTAACTCAGCTGTGGTCATGGTTGGATTGACAGATACCTTCTATGGGAATGTATTTTCCATAGGTTTACACATGGGTAGGCAGTGACATACCTCACAACGTACTCTTTTGCTTGGCTACTGGCAAATTTTTTTGGATTTTATTTCTGATACTTCTAGTTTCAGAAACCTGAAAATATTATTTTAAGAAAAACAAGTATCTTTAGTATTAAGAAAATCTAGTTTAGTAATTTAGTGTACAGTGAGCAAGCATAAAATCTGTCAGTGGTAGAATTGTTTAATAAGTTTTGGGATGATCAGATGGCAGTTAGGAAAGTTCATGTAGAGCCTTTTCATATGCAAATGTTATGGTTGACCTTTTTAAATTGGAAAAACTCGTGAAACTGTGCAAAGAATAGTAATCTTCTAAAGTAAGAAGACTGTAAAGAAGTGATTATAAAAACTAAGCACATCTGTATGAAGAAAACCAACACAATTAAAACTAAAAAGAAAAATAACAAAGTGGAAAACACAAATATGACCTTACATGATTACTGTATTATGAAAATATTTACAACACTAAGATTCCAGTAACTACATTAATAAAGGACATGCCCATTAGCTCTTAAGGAAAAGAGTTCAACATCATTGGTAGTTAAAAACAATAGTGAATAACTTTTTTTATACTTACTGAGTAACCATAATAAAGAAGTCCATAGGGAATCAAGTACTCATGCATTGCTTTTGGAATTGGAATAACTCATTTGAGAGGTAGTATGGTAGTATATATCTTAAAAGCCATAAACATATCTAAGGGCATGGATTAATGATCTTACTCTTGGGAATTGACCCTAAGTAAATAAAGAATAAAAAAAAGCTATATTAGAGCTGCATTCACAATACTATTACTTATCATAGTAAAAGCTGAAGACAACCTAATTGGCCAACAGTGAAAATTTTGATATATTATGCAAAAGTAATACCTGAATAGTTCATATCCATTACATATAAGTGTTAGCACTGTGACAACTGGGACTGTATCTTTTTTTGTTCTCTGCTGTAAAACCAGTGCTTAGAAAAGCTTGGCATGTGGTGGGTACTGAAAAATTATTAGTAGTATTTTTTTTTAATGAACAACAGAATAATGTTGAGTTAAAAAAGAATTTAAAACATACACATACAGAACCTGTTCTCAGATACCTTAATGAGTAAGGGGGATGGGCAACAAGTTGGTTGATGAAGAGTTCTTAGAGGAATTTGAACTGGGGTTTGCAAGTTTAGTAGAATATGGATTCTCTTGGGAGCCAGGAGGTGGGAGTGCTACTCCAGGAAGAGGGATTTATCTGAGGAAAGACCTGACAGTAGGAATTGACTGGAGAATAAGGCAGGAGGTTAGGCATATATAAGGACAGAATTCTGAGTGGACTTGTAGCTAACGAGGTAGGACTTTATTCTTCTGTATGAGAAGTCGTTGATGCTTTTTCAACAGAGTTTGATATTGAAAGAGCTATATAATTCAAGGAGTTAATCTACCTTTGCCATATAAGACAGGTTCACTCAGTTAAACTAGAGGTCCCCAAACCCTGATGAGAGACTGTTGGAGTTCATGGTTACCAAGGTAGCTAGAGCTTGAGTGGCGAAGACAGTCACAGAGAAGTGAGCCTATAAGTCTGAATCATGTTTCCCTTAAGAGTTGTCACAGCTTAGTAAGCAACACAAACCAATAAGCAGGAAAGTTGAGCAGAAAGTGGCTGCTAACAAACTAAGCTCAGCAGAGTTTTCAGCAGTTTCATGGTGCTAGAGATAGAGGCGTCCTGGTAAACACCCTAGGTTGAACAACTGCATCCTAGCAGTAAGAGTGAACCAGGAGTAGACTAGGTCTTAATAAGATTGAAAACAAGCTTCAAGTTAGCTTGATCTCTGATTTTATTAGCTCCCGCTGCCAACCAGAAAGTAAAGAAACTCTTCAGTTGAAGATAAATTTCACATCCTTTATGGTTTTTAATGATACAGTGTTTGACATTGAGTCCCCAGATTCCAGACATGCCAAGAACCAGAACAAGAGAAAAAACAGATGCAAAAATAGACACAGATGATCAGGTGTGGACGTCAGTAAAAAATGTTGTGCCACTTCTTTCATTTCTCCTTTGTTTCTGATGAGATGTCTGCTGTCATTTGAATTATTTTCTCTTATAGGTAAATTATCATTTCTCTCTTACTGTTTTTATTACACTTTCTGTGTCTTTAGCTTTCAGAAGTTTAACTATGATATGCTTTAATGTGGATTGCTTTGGGTTTATCCTGTTTATGGTTCACTCGGCTTCTTGAATCTGTAAATTTATGTGTTTTGCCAAACATGGAAAATTGTCTGGTTTTTTTCTTAGAGCACTTTTTCAGCCCAGCCCACTTTCTTCTCTCCTTGTTGGATTCCATGGCAGAAGGTAGATCTTTTGTTAGAGCTTGATCTTTTGTTAGCGTTAGATCTTTTGTTAGGTCTTGAGGCTCTAATTATTTGTTTTCAGGCTATTTTTTCTCTGTTGTTTAGACTGGATAGTATCTATTGTTCTATATTTTGGTTCAGTGATTCTTTCCTCTGTCCCTTCCATTCTACTGTTGCATCCATCCATTACATCTTTTGTTTTACCTATTTTTCAGTTCTGAAATTTCCATTTGGTTCTTCTTTATATCTTTTCTTTCTTTGCAGTATGTTCTTTATATCTTGCTTTGTTTTTGAGACTCTCAGTTATTTTGTTGTTTCAAGTATGTCTGTAATGGCTCCTTGAGTCATTTTTGTGACAGCTGCTTAAACATGTTTTTCAGATAATTTTAACACCTCCATCATCTTGGTATTGGCATCTGTGGATTGCCTTTTTTCATTCTGTTTGAGATATTCCTGGATCTTGGTATGATGAGTGATTTTTATTTGATACCTGGACATTTTTAGTATTACATGCTGACACTCTGGGTCTTATTTAAATGTTCTGATTTAGTTGGCTTTCTCTGGCCCTGCCCCCGCATGAGAAGGAGGGAAGCCTCATTACTTTCCTGTGGGGATACAAGTCCAGGTTCTCTACTTTGCCTCTCTTGACACTCAATTTAGGGAGAGATTCTTTGTTACTGCTGGTCATGGATGGGAGTTCTTGCCCACATTGATTTCTCCCTGGCTGGGAGGGGCAGGAATGTGTCATTATGGTTCCCCACATATCCTCCACAGGGTGATAGTCTCTTTACTGTGTGATGGTGAAAGGCCTGACTCTGCTAGGCTTCTCCAAAAACAGCCTGTGGCAGAAAGAGAGAAGGGTACCTTGTTACTACTAGGTGAAGGTCCAAGCTCTCCATGTGGTCTTCACTGACACTGTGGAAAAGGAGGTCTCATTATCACGTGGCAGGGACTGGCTCCCTACTGGCCTTCTCTGACATCACCATTGTGGGGAGAATTGAGTGCCTTATTACAGCCGGAGGAGAGCAGACATCTAGGCTCCCTACTTCACCTTTGCTGGTGGGAGTGGGAGCTACAGGCACAGAGTTGTTTTTTACTTCTGTTTTTGTGTTTTTGGTGATGTTTGGCTAGGTATAATGTGCTCTGTCTGGATTGTCTCTTTCCTTATTCTTTGCCTGGAGAGAACAGGATTTTGTTTTGTTTGGCTGGTTGGTTTTGGGGGGAGTCTGGGCCTATGGGTTTTTTCGGGCTGCCAGCTTCTTCAGCTCCAAGGTGATAACATGTAACAGAAACAGAAAACTACAGGCCAATATTCCTGATAAACACAGATGCAAAAATCCTCAATGAAATACTAGCAAACTGAATCCAACAGCACATCAAAAAGATCACACACCATGCCTAAGTGGGATTTATCCTAGGAATGGTTCAACATATGCAAATCAATAAAAGTGATTCATCATATCAACAGAATGAAGTACAAAATCATATGATCACCCAAAAGATGTAGAAAAAATCATTTGATAAAATTTAACATCCCTTCATGCTAAATCTCTCAACAAATTAGACATAGAAGGAATATATCTCAATACAGTTAAAGGCCATATATGACAAACCCACAGCTAACATTATACTGAATGGGGAAAAGTTGAAAGTTTTTCCTTTAAGGAAAGGAATAAGGCAAGGATGCCCACTTTCATCACTCTTATTCAACATAGTACTGGAAGTCTTAGCCAGAGCAAATAGGCAAGAGAAGGAAATAGAAGGCATCTACATTGGAAAAGAGGAAGTCAAATTGTCTCTGTTTGCAGATGACATGATCTTATATATAGAAAAACCTAGAAACTCCACTTTTTTTAATCAGTTTTAAAATTGATAAACGAATTCAGTAAAGTTGTAGGATACAAAATCAACATACAAAAATCAGTAGCATTTCTATATATCAGTAATGAACTAGCCTGGAAAAGAAAGCAATTCTATTTACAATAACCACAAAAAAACCCCACCTAGGAATAAATTTAACCAAGGAGGTGAAATATCTCTACAATAAAAACTACAAAACACTGATGAAATAAATTGAAGAGGTCCTACAAAAAATGGAAACATATTTCATGTTCATGGATCAACAAAGAGCTAATATTGTCAAAATGACCATACTACCCAAAGCAATGTACAGATTCAACACAAGCCCTATCAAAATACCAATGACATTCTTCACAAAGATAGAAAAAAAGATCCTAAAATTTGTATGAAACCACAGACGACCCCAAATAGGCAAAGAATTCCTGAGGGGTGGGAGAGGACCTTGGAGGCATCACATTATCTGACTTCAAAATATACTGCAAAGCAGTAGTAACCCAAACAGCATGCACTGGCATAAAAACAGACACATAGACCAATGGAGCAGAAGAGAACCCAGAAATAAATCTACATATTTATAGCCAACTGATTTTTAACAGAGGCACCAAGAACATACATTCGGGAAAAGACAAGCCTCTTCAATAAATGGGGCTGGGAAAACTGGATATGCAGAAGAATGAAACTAGACCCTCATCTCTCATCGTATACAAAAATCAACTCCAAATGGTTTAAGACTTAAATGTAAAATCTGAAATGCTTCAGGATATTTATCTGGGCAAAGATTTCCTGGCTAAGACTTCAAATGCACAGGTGCAACAAAAGCAACAATAGACAAATGGTATTATATCAAGCTAAAAAACCTCACAGCAGAGAAAACAATCAACAGGGTAAAGAGACGACCTGAAGAATGGGAGAAAATATTTGCAAACTATTCTTCTGATAAGAGATTAATATCAAAAATAAGTAAGAAACTCAACAGCAAAAAGCCAATAATTCAGTTAATAAATAGGCTAATGATCTGACTAGACATTTCTCAAAAGGAATATGCAAAAGGCCAACAAATATATGGAAAAAATATTAAACTTCAGTAATCATTAGGGAAATGAAAATCAAAACCATAATGAGGATTATTTCACCTCAGAATGGCTATTATCAACAAGACAAAAAATAAATGCTGGCAAGGATGTGGAGGAAAGGGCACTCATACACTATTTGTAGGAATATAAATTAGAACCACCATTATGCAAACCAGTGTGGATACTCCTCAAAACTAAAAATATAACTGCCATGTGTTTCAGCAATCCCACTACTAGGTATTTACCCAACATAAAGGATAACAGTATGTCGAAGAGATATCTATATTCCCATATTTATTGCAGCATATCACAGTAACCAAGATACGGAATCAACCTAAATATCTATCAACAGATGAATGGATAAAGAAAATATGATATATATACAGAATGGAATACTATTCAGCCATAAAGAAGAATGAAATCCTGTCATTTGGAGCAATGTGGATGAACCTGGAGGACTGTATATTAAGTTAAATAAGTCAGACACAGAAAGACAAATATAGCACATTTTCACTCATATTGTGGGAGCTAAAAAAATTTGAGCACGTATAAGTAGAGAGATAATTGTGGTTAATAAAGGCAGGAAGGATAATCGGGAGGCAGGTATTGGGAGAGGTTGGATAACAGATACAAAATTATAGGTTAGATAAGAATAAGTTCTGGTGTTCTGTAGCAATGTAGGGTGACTATCATTAACAAGAATTTAGTTTGTATCTTTAAATATCTAGAAGAGAGGATTTTGAATGTTCCTAACACAAAGATGATGAATGTTTAAGGTGATTGATATGCCATTACCCTGATTTGATTATTAAACATTCTATATATGTATTGAAATATCACCGTACCCCATAAATATAGTTACTAAATGTCAATTTTTTAAAAAGCTATTATTTTTCAAATGATAAAAAAGAAGTATTTTGTAGAATGTTAATTATCTATATTCCATTTTATTAAAATATATACAATTTTGTTTTTGTTTGCTTCAAGAGAAATGTCCCAGTGTAGTTTATATATTAATTATGCATATCTTAATGAATTCAGAATAGTACTTTAAATATATTAAGTTTATTTACTGCTCCCCCCACCCATTTTCCAAAGTAGACTGCATTAATTTCATGTGATTGATCCAAGTAGATCCAATTGATTGACTTACTGTTTTCCTAATTTCAGGTTCCAGTTACAGCTATATCAGAGAATGAGTTAATCTCCTCAGAAATCACTAAATACTACTCTGAGGGGCTTAGAAATTAACAGGGTAAGTTGAATATCATCTTAAATACTATCTGGATTTTTATAGTGAATTCCTAATTTGGGCCTATAGTGTGTCAGGCAACAGTTGGGCACTGGGAAGAAAATTCCTTCTCTTATTTTCCATGCCTGTAGTGGTTTTCAGTTTTCTTTTGGATCAGGGCCCCTTTGAGAGTCTGCTTAAAGCTGTGTAGATCTTTTCACAAACATTCACACATGTTCAGTCAGAGTTTGAAGATCTTCGAAAACTTCCTAAAGTTCACAGACCATTGGGCAACCCTGTGCTTTGCAGTATTTCAGACGTTTTTACAGGCTTTGTTTCTCTTTTAAATATTACAACTCTATGAATTAGTGACTGATATTGATATTTTACATTGAAGAAACCGGTGTTCAAAATGGTATGTGACTTTTCCTGTAATGCAGCTGTCAAATGTGAGGCTAGAATTGAAGACTTTCCCAAATTTTAATAATACTGTTGGCTTTTTTTAAGGTTCTTTCTTCTTAATATGTCAAATTGCTCCTTAGTAAGATTGTGTCAGCCTTTCCTCATTGTCAGCAAGTGAGCATGCCTGCTTCACCACATTATCCCATTGGGTGTTCCCCCACCCTAGTGTTTGCTAAATTGGCATGTAGATAATTGCATTTCATTTTAATTTGTTTCTTTGTTGTATTTAGAGTTCTCTATCCACTTATCCATTGGAGTCTTACCAATTTTTGTAGCATTATATATGAATTTTGAATATATTAAGAATATTTGTCATGTTTTGTGCAAATACATTTACCCTTTCTGTTTGCCTTTTTACTTTGTGATTTTTTTTATGTATAGAAGTTTTGAAATGTTTAAGTATTCAGATCTACTTTTTCCTCTACATTTTTTCTCTTTTTTTAGTGTAGAAATTTCCAAATGCTTCATACATCTCAATGAATGCAGACACATTCACAGATTTTTTTTTTAACATAATGGCAATCTAAAAGATTAAAAAAGGAATGCCACTTAAGTTACAGATTTTTGACTTCCTTTTGTCATATGTTTATTGGCTATTGGTCTTTCGTCTTCTTTAAATATTTTTAAGTATTTAATCTTTCATAATTTTTATAAATGATATGTAGAAATCTAGATTATTAGTTCTGATAGCATTTAGTAAATGTTTCATTTTTACCAAGATTTCAAAGTATAGTTTACCCAATGTAAGATTTTCATATACACGTATATTTCTTTGTCTCTATTAATGTTCCTTTGATCTAATTATCTGTCACAGCATAATTATGATGTATTTTTAATGTTATTGTAGCTTTAAAGTCCTCTTTTATTAGTTTTTCAAAACTGTTTTATTCTTTGATATTTTTCCAAATTAACTTGAGAATATATTCATCAAATTAAAAAGTAAACATATGAAGGATTTTTAATTACGATTGCATTGAGTTAAAGATTCATTTGGGGCCAGGGGCGGTGGCTCACGCCTGTAATCCCATCACTTTGGGAGGCTGAGGCGGGTGGATCACCTGAGCTCAGGAGTTGGAGACCAGCCTGGGCAACATGGAAAAAACCCGCCTCTACTAAAAATACAAAACATTAGCTGGGCGTGGTGGCGGGCTCCTGTAGTCCCAGCTACTCAGGGGGCTGAGGCAGGAGAATGGTGTGAACCCAGGAGGCGGAGCTTGCAAAGAGCCGATATCGTGCCACTGCACTTCAGCCTGGGCGACAGAGCAAGACTCGGTCTCAAAAAAAAAAAAAAAAAAAAAAAAAAATTAGCTGGGCCGGTGATGTGCGCCTGTGGTCCCAGCTACTTGGGTGGCTGAGGTGTGAGAATTGCTTGAGGCTTTTTGTTTGTTTGTTTGTTTGTTTGTTTAAGACAAAAATCTTCCTCTCTTGCTCAGGCTGGAGTGCAGTGGCATGATCTGGGCTCACTGCAGCATCTACCCATCAGGCTCAAGGGATTCTCCCAGCTCAGCCTTCCTAGCAGCTGGGACCGCAGGTGCACAGTGGCACAATCTCAGCTCACTGCAACTTCTGCCTCCATAGCTCTTCCACCTCAGCCCCAGAGTATGCCCAGCTAATTTTTGTTTTTTGTTTTTGTTTTTGTATAGACAGGGTTTCACCACATTGCCAAGGCTGCTCTCAAACTCTAGGCTCAGGCAGTCTGCCTGCCTTGGCCTCCCAAAGTGTTGGGATTACAGGCGTGAGCCACCATGCCTGGCCAGCTTGCTATACTTCTTTATGTTTTTTCTACACATATGCAACTTGGAATTAGATCTCTGTCCTCTCAGAGACTTTCCTTATGCTGTCTGGCTCCCAGGAGCCTCTTTTCCTAGTCCTTTCACTAGTGGCAGGGGTTATTCTTTCTCTTAGAGTCTTAGTGTCACCCTCCCCCACTGTTTTGCCCCAGAGAAATACATAGTGAAGATTCTTCCCATATTCTTCCTACTACCCTGGACCCTTTCCCGTTTCTCAGGACAGAAGGACAGGTTTCTCTTAGGCTTTCAGATGTGCTGCCTCAGTAGTGCAGCTTCATAACAGACTGGCTTTGAGGCAGAGTCAGCAGAGAAGAAAAAAAAAAAAAAGAAACTGGGAACTCCCCTCGTACTGCTCCAAACCACACACTGTAGCCCACAGATGCTTGTTTTACACCCACTAGAAAGAGGGGGTTTCTCCTGGAGTTTTGCCATGTGTGTCTGCTGCCTAATTCTGGGACTCTGCCCACCCTCAGGTCAAAGTGGTAGATAAAGGAAGGATTAAAAAAAAATAGTAAACTCACCTTCATATTGGTTATTCTTCATATTTTGACTTTCTTCTCCAACGCACCTGACATTGTTATTTTTCAGTTTTCAAGAGGTTGCTTTTAGTATTCTGCCCAGAGTTTTTAGTTGTAATTAGTGAGGGAGATAGGCTGTAAAGGGCTTATTCCATCTTGACATTCACTGAAAGTCACATTATTTCATTTTAAAAATAATTTTTGTTTTGATTTTCCCAAAATTCTTCTTGTTCCTTGACTATTATAAGAACAGATTTTTGTTGTTGTTGTTCTGTGCATATACTGGCCTCTTGTATCTCTCTCAAGATACCAATAAAGTTAGGAACATTTTATTTATTTTTGTTGCCTTACTGTATTTTCTTTGGGTCATTGTGTCTCTACTTCTACACTTTATTGCCTCTCTTGGTTTTTATTAAGTGGCCAGTGATTGTTAGCTTTCTTCTTTACAGTATTTTCAAGTAAAGGTCACAATCAGTGGTTGTCTTACTTGAATGTATATACCCATTGCTTGGCGGCCCAGGTAAAATGTAGATTCCTGGTCCCATGGACAAAAATCTGATTCAGTAAGTCTAGAGTAGGGCACATAAACACCTTAAATTCTTTTGATGCTGATAGTTGAATGATAGCCCTTGAAATCTTGGAAACTGGTGTAATTCTGTACAGCTCATTATTCCCCTTTACAAAATACTGTCTTACCCACTGAGCATCATGGCTGACCATGGGACTCTGCAGTTGGCTTCCCGCTTGCTGTGGTGAGTGAGAGGTGGGCTTTCCCTCCCCTCCCCTCCCCTCTTTGGAGACAGGATCTCATTCTGTCACCCAGACTGGAGCACAGTAGTGTGATCATGGCTCACTGCATCCTTGACCACCCAAGATCTAGGAAACTTTCCACCTCAGCCTCCCGAGTAGCTGGGACTACAGGTGCTCGCCACCATACCCATTAATTTTTCTGTTTTTGTAGAGGTGGAGTCTCTGTATGTTGCCTAGGCTGGTGTGGAACTCCCAGCCTCAAGCAATCCTCCCACTTCAGTCTCATTGGGATTACAACCGTGAGCTACTGTTCCTGGACTCATTTTTCTTATCATGCACTTGCAGAGACAAGGCTAATAGCGGGGCCCTGTCCCTCGGTTTCTGCTGTTGGAAAGGAATTTTTCTGCAGGGAGAGTTCTGATTAGTTCTGAGTTGCCTTCCTTTTTCCCCCCTCTCCGTTGAGATTGTCTTTAGCCTGCTATTATCTCCATTTCAAAGTTCACACTATAAGCCCTCAGACAAAGACTTTAGACTCATGATAAATGCTGTGGCTGACACTTACTTGTCTTTAGAGTTGTACTGGCCATCATTGGTGTTTTTTCACTCAGTCGTTTTGTGGCCTGCCCACACCCCCAGGCCCTTCTGACCTCAGGTCTTTAGTAGGAGAAGAGGTAGATGAATGGGCTCACTCTGCCATCTTAATTGAATGTCCACTGTTAATCTTAAGGTGATATTGGTTTCTAATGTGCAAGGTATTTCTGTTGAATTCTCAGATATAATAATCATCATGAAATCTGTAGTAGGATCACACCTTATGTATACTCAGGTGTGCAAAGAAAATATAGCTTCTTTATTTTTCTTATCTCTTCCTTTTGATGAACCCTGGTCACTGGATGGCCGGAAGAAGAGTACCAGACTTACTCCCATCTGGTAAACTGGGTCTTATCCAATAATTTAAATAGTTGTGTTTGGATATTTCAGCTTCTGGATACTACTCATTCAAATATTATCTCTTTCCTCAGACGTGCCCACAACAGAATCTAGACTTATGGGTTGGCTTGTGTGACCTTGTAGTGGTGGAAGCACACCAAGACCCTCAATCTATCTACTGTCTTTTCTGGTTTCTTACTGGTCTCTCCCTGGAATTGTGGCCACCGAGGTACTACCAGAACTATCGTTTGAGGTACTACCAGAACTGTCTGAGACCTGTTCTTTTTGCTCCTAGAATGCATTGTCCATCTTTCCTGGTGTCACAGATAGCCTGAAGTCTGGCTTGGCCCCCTGAGCCTGGTATTCTCTCTTCCAGGCCTCTTGCTATGGAATTACTTTATCCCTCTGGCAAAGTCGTCAATCTGTATCTTAAGTTACCTTTCCCGTACTACTTTAGAGCACACAGAAGTTTCCTAAGGTACATTTCCTAAATGTACCTTCTTCCATGGCACATGAGAAATAAGGGAGATGCCAGAGCTGATCTCACATTCCTTCTCAATCTTCCTGTGTTTCTGTGCATATATTTTGGAGTGGCTATCTCCAGCTTCTGTTGAGTAGGCATAGGGAGAGGAAAGAGGTTGGTGGTGTGTGTGTGTGTGTGTGTGTGTGTGTGTGTGTATGAAAGTGTGTGTGTGTTTGTGCGCACACGCGCCACGTGTCAGGGAAGTTCCTGGAAGGCAGTCATTTTGTACAGTCTTAGTGGGAAGTGAAGCTGACTGTTCTAGCTCCCAGATTTCCTTACTCCATCAGACATTCTTTTCTTCTGCCCCATCTGCCTGAAAGATGATGATGGGAGTATTGGTCACTTGCATCTTCTGTCTCTGTCTCACCTTTTAATCCCACAATCCTTCATCCAGAATCAGGAGTTTGGGGCTATAATTCATATTTTTTCTAATTTATATCATCTTTCTACCCTAATTGACAGGCCCCATGTTCTGACTGTCATGAGCAGAAGGGATATCTGCTCTGTACTGTGGAAGAAACTATAATCCTACTCTTTTCAATCTTGGCCAGAAAATATTAGTGTCTAACAAATTCCTTCTTTGGGAAAACCAGACTTTCAAAAACTTTTATCTTAGTGTAAAATTCTTTCTTTAATTCATAAGGTAAATATTAACTATTTCTTTCTCTTTTCATTTTTAAACTTTACCAAATATATGGATGCTACTCATAGAATAGGAGGGAAGTCAGTGGAAGGAAAAGCAAATGAGAAAAGCATGTCAGTATCTTTTCATAATCATGAGAGCATATCTACTCTCAGTACTCCCGTTTCTCAAGACTTCCTTGGCTTTTCTTACATTTACTTTTTTAATTGTAGTAGAGACTCTTACAAGATTATGCTTCTAAAACATATTATAGTTATTTGATTTGTATTAAGCTTATAACTTTGATATTTTTAATTATAGTTTTCTCAAATAGGAAAATAGTGTGTCTCTATTTTTTCAAATCTTCTCAAAATATTTATCAATAAGGTTTTATAAAATTTTGAAATGTGGATTTAATAAATATGTCTCACATTCTTTTTAGGAAATTTTTTTTCTTTTTAGTTTTTAAGAGTAAAATCCAGGTTGCAACTCAGTTTCTTCTGCCTTGTAGCTCTTCCCTGTGTGGACCCATGGCACTTTGTTTATTTGTCTTTTGTAGAATTCCTCATATTTGTGTTTACCAAACTGTAGTCAGCTCAATGCAGGGAATCAGACATTGCTTGTCTTTATTTGCCCTAGTGCCCAACAAATTCCTGCTCATGATAGGCATGGGGAAATCAGCAATTCCTGTGCTCCTTTCCTGATTTATTTTCTCCATAGGACTTACCATGTTCTAACATACTGTATTGTTTATTTGTTTTATTTATTGTCTGTCTCTTCTCACTGAATTATAAATAGCATGCAGGCAGAGATTTTGAACGATTTTGCTTACTACTGTATTCCTAACACCTAGTGGAGCACCTGTCATGAAGGTGACCAGTATTTGTTGAATGATTAATAAATTATCAAAATTTAGATAATTGTCTAAATTATATCATATGATCTATAAAATACTGTAAGTATAAACTTCTGGTATAAAAAATAGTAATGTAATTGGAAAGGTACATTAAAAGTTAGGAAGACCTTAATATATAATCTACTATCCCATTTTGTGAAATGAGCAAGAAATAATTTAAGCACAAAGCCCAAGCTAATTGTGGAAATGGACCAAGAATTTAGAACTCTTAAGTAAAACATAATAATAATGTCAACTGGACATGTGGTAAGCAGTATATATGGTTGTAGTTAAGAAAAAGTACAGGTTCTGCAATCAGACATTTCTAGGCAAGTTTCTTGATCTCTCTGTGCCTTAGTTTCCTCCCCTGCAAACTAGGAAAAAATTGTATCTTTCTTATAGATTGTTCTAAGACATCTATGAAATAAAGTGTAGTAACTCTTAGCACACTGCCTGGCGTTTAGTGAAGGCTCAAAAAGTTAGCTTCCATTATTACTATTTGGAATATCTGCCATCTGTAGCTTGTGGATGTGAGAGTTCTTTAGTTTTTGGTGGGGCTTTTAAAAAATAGTTCCTAGAGGCCAGGCTATCTTTTAGTCTTTCCTTCAATCCCTCTAATATGCCAAGCTCCCCAGTTCTCTGAATTGATGCATCTACTCTTCTATTGGCCTAGAGAACACTCTTCTCTGACATGCTTTGCTTCTTTAACACCTACTTATCTTTCAGGTCTCTTCCTGTTTCTCTCATTTTTAAATTTTTATTTTAAGAATTTATAAATATATACAAAAGTAGAGAGTATGATGAATCCATCACCATTTCTATGTATCCATTACCCACCATCAATAGCTGTGGGGATTTGATCTCTTTAAAAATTAAAAAAAAGTTTTCTTGAAATCCCAGTAAATACCTTTTATTTTTTTCTTCCTAGCACATTAACACAATTTGCAATCATGTATTTAATGTCTCTTTTCTCCATTAGTTTATAAGCTCCATAAAAGCTGTTTTCTTTATTGTGATATATCCAGTGTCTCATACAGTGCCTGAAACATGATAGGTTCTCAAATGTGAAAGGAATGAATTATTTAATAACTGAAAACGTCGCTAAGGGGTTTGAAAAGACGAGCATTTGATGAAAACTTTTTGAAAAAGATTGGTAAGAATGACTTAGGCAGCTTTATATTAAAACAATAGGTACCGTTAGGCTCAGATTCATATACTTATTAAGCAACCTTGTGCTCTTAATTTTTTTCCAAGTAAGCTTCTGTGTAAAGCAAACTCAGTGACCTTGTGAAGAGAATATTATTTGAGTTTATAAGATATTGTCCATAGTAAATAACTAAATTAGCTTTGGGGGATCACTCTTGGGCAAGGTAAAATGATCCCTTGAGGTGCTGGGCCTTCTGGGCTGAGAGATCAAGCACCTTGACGGCTCATAGAGAAGTTATCATCTTGAAGCCTTTGCCCAGCCATCAACCTACTCCTTGTTGCTGTAGCTTCATTTGATGAAATTTAAGAAAAGTGTTTTTCTCTTCAAATTGCTATCCCCTCCTAATTTTTTTTTTTTTTTTTTTTTTTTTGATACTGTTTTGAACCAGTAACCATGGTTTCTTGTAGAGGCTCCTTGGGAGCTTTAACAACATCAGTCAGTTTCACAGCTGGAAGCAGAGTGATCTAGATAAAAGCATAATAAAAAAGCTTACTGAGGTTTTTTTCCCCCCTGTTATAACAATTCTTTCATTAGGGAGCACTTTGCATAAAGTGAAATGTTCTCTGTTCCCACTGAAGTAGACATTTTAATTTAAATTAACAGTAACGTAGTACCTGGTTCCTTTTTAGAGTCTAGAAAAGGGAGGTAATACTACCATTCACCTGTCCTTCACCTGAACCTACCCTGTCTCTGTCCCCTTCTTTTTTTGTTTCTATTTTCTTACCATCTTTCTGGGCCAATGGTGAGTGATAGTAATACTGACATTTGGGGTTCAAGATGGATGAAGTCGTGAAGTTGTAGCTTTGAATTAATGAGGGAAAAAGGAGTTAAGTAGCAATAAAAACTTGATACAGTGGTACCAGGAGTTTATTTGTCAGGATCAAGAAGAGTCAAGGACTGGCTCTTGTCAGAGGGCCAGAGTAAGTAATTTGTTAGAAGTCAGCGTTGGCAGCAAGCACTGTCTTGACGGATGGCACTATTGAGAAGGGAAAGGAAACCTATATTTATTAAACTCTTTACAGAAAAGCTTGCCAACCCTCATTGAGATAGACTGGATCAGTCTACCCTGGACTGGATATGAGAATGGTTATATTGTGGGGAAAGCACACTCTTAGGTTATACTGCTTGTGGATATTAGTATAGCTGTGGCATAAAAGGAGCATGATGGGAATTTGGATGAGAGTAGTGGGTCTTCTGGGCCTTTCTTTATCGAAAGTCTAAACCCTGCCTGTGAAAGGAAACTCCAAATGTAAACATTGAATGTTTATTTTTTTTTACACATTTCTTTGTCCTTCCTACATGTATACCTATGTCCATACTCTCACATGGTTTTACTGTAATTCTGTTATTCGTATACTTACATAAATGTGGACTTACACAAGCATCTTAATTGGAAATGACCTTGGAGATCACGTTTCAACATCCTTATTTTACAGGTGGCAAAAACTAAGTCCCTTACAAGTTATATGCCTGGTGTCACAAAAGCAGGTTAGTGGCAAGTTTTGGGAGTAAAACCCTGGTTCTTTGAATTCCTGTTGTCATGCGTACAGGTATTCACATATGAAGTCTGCCCTATAAGGCCTCACCCAATATGTATCTTTAGCTTTAAGTAGCCTTTCTTAGAAAACTAAAACAGCTGAAGAGAAGAGAAGCATTAAATCTAGATTCTTCTAACTTAACTCTGCTACTGATTATCTTTGCAATTTTTAGGAAGTGTACCATTCTTTGATAAACAGAAATAAGGATCCAGAAGATAAATTGTAATTATAAAGATTACTGTGGACTAAGATCCTGATATTTGCCTCATTTCCTGATCCCTTTCACAGTGTAATTTATGTGAAGGAAATGTACAATTATTCAAGTAAACACGGTACTAGATTCACAGTTCCTAAGTATAATAATTTATAAGTGGAACATTGAAGAATCCAGAATTCATGTTGCTGTAAACATGTTACATAAGCTTATTTAAATGTTTTCCTTTTGTGAATTCAATAAATGGTAATTTGTAATTTATAATAAAACATACGATTATGATTTCGTAACTTACTGAAAAAAACTTTAAGAAAATTAGGTATCGTTCAACTGAAAAGACAAAAGGAATATACCAGAAATTATAGCCATTTTATTTTCATGTTCCTGATGGGGGTATTGCTGTCACAATTGGGGCAGAGTCATTATTTTTCTCAAATTCAGGATTAGAAAGGTCTTTGCCTTTATTGCATCAGAACATAATCACAGAATTTCTTCTTGCTGGTTCCCTGGGGACACTCTTTAGACAAGAGAAATCCTAGGAGAAATTTGCACAAAAGATGTACATCAGAAACTAAACTACAAGAGCAGATATTAGCATGCTTTTGGTTTGTTGTGCAGATGGTTTATAAAATCCTTAACATCGGTATTACTTGCCTACTTTTAATTAACCTCTAAAGAATTGTGTAATTGTTACTTCTTTCCTTCTCTATGATAAGTCAGCCCTCTCAGCTTTCTTTCCTGATACAGTTGAAAGCATTTTAAATTTTATCCTTAGAAATACAAATACTGAACAAATTAATGTTGTAGTTCAACATACTTAACCAATCTTAATTATAAATTAGGATGCGATGAGACTGTTTCACTTTTAAAATACATGATTGATGTTTAATCTTTCAGAAATTTAAGCTATTATAGTAATGCAATTGCTTATACTTAGTTTTGTGTTTTTATTAAAGTCTTATCTTTAAATGGATTGTCTCATTGAAGAAAATTAAATGGGCCAAATGTTTGTTTAACTTCGGAATTCTAAATAAATATTTTTCTTATAGTTTTATTAGAATTGGGATTGATATTTATGTAATAATAATGGTTTGATTGTCACTTATCTGGAACTCTGATTTACCAGCACAGTTCAATTATCTAAGTTAATATTTTTCAGTTCTTCAAAACCATGTTTCTATTTGATAGTTGTAAAATCACCTCTTCATCTTTGCTATTGTCTGAAATTTAAAATAAATATAACTTGTTTTTTAAAAATCAAAAGAATCAGGTAGAAAGTACTGCTTTGTTTTCAAACTTACTAGCACACCTCCAATGTATTGAATTCTATTTAAATTTACAAAACAGAAGTTTCTTACATGAGTTTCATGGACCACTTCAGAGGCTCATTAAATCTGATATTATATATAAAGTTTTATCCATGTGGGAATTCTTTTGAGATGAAATATCTGTAGCTTTATTGGAGTCTTGACGCTTTCCATCACCTAAACAAGGTTAAAAACTATTTTTATAGGACCTCTGAAGTATCATACTTTCCAAAAGAATATTTAAGGTAAAATTGCTTTGCTTTCTAGAATCACTTAATTATAGAATCTTGGTGTAGCCAGCCTCCATTTTTACAGATGCCACAAGTTGTGATTTACCCAATGATATTGTAGTTTAATCTTTGTCAAATTAGCAGGGGACACAATGAGGCGTCCTAATTGGTGTCCTAATTGTTTTTGGTGTCCTAATTGTTTTTTAGGGCCTTTTTAGCCTTGCAGCCTCTGCATAGAGGTTATGGAGCTCTCAACTAGGCAAGCAGGTATTAGTATTTGAATACAAAGCTTTTATGGGCACAATAGAGATCTCCGATAATTTGCCTCAATTATTTCATGAAGTGTTAATGTGATACTGTGTCATCTCTTTGCTGTATATGGTGTATGTTCTTACACTGTATATGGAAGCCCCTGTAGTTGCAGAGGAAAATCTGTCTTTGACAGCATCTGTGTTGAGGTAGACTTTCAGGAGTGAGATCATGAGATTTCAGACTATAAGAATCTCAGACCTGTGAGCATTTCATTTATTCATTTAACAAAGATTTATTGTGTGCCTGCTTATGGAGATGTAGGTTTTACTGGTTTTGGGATACCAAAAGAGCCCCATTGTGTCCCCTGCTAATTTGACAAGGATTAAACTACAGTATCATTGGGTAGATCACAACTTGTGGCATCTGTAAAAATGGAGGCTGGCTACACCAAGATTCTGTGATTAAGTGATTCTAGAAAGCAAAGCAAATTTATCTTATAGAATACTTGTGGAAAATTATAGTACTGTGTTCATTTAATAATATCGGTTTGGTTAATATTGGGAAATGTTTTTCTGATTACTTAACCTGAAGAATAAAATGCCATACAGTAATACTGACAGCAGTTCTTACAAAATAGTCCTTAGCGTAGTAGTCTCACAGAGTTATGAAATTCTCAGACTACTAGGAATTAAAGAAATCTCCTAATTTAAATATAGGACCAAAGCCCAAAAAAAATCTTTGTTTTATTTACCATTTTGTACTATTTGATAAAGATTTGACTGTCGGGCTTAAGTTAGTGATTTTTTAAATGTTTTAATTTAGAGGTTATGTTTCACATTGTAAACCTAGATCCTGAATTTTTATATTTAGTAATATAAGATGGCATACTTAACAAATGCAAAGGCTACAACAAATTAATTGAGAGTATTCTTAAATAAACTTAAATTTTAATCATTTTTGTGTATACTTAAGATGATTTCAAAATAAAGGTTTTATGATTTAATGTGCTATTACATTTCAAAGAGTTAAAGACTTACGCCATTCTACAATATTCATTTTAACTGGTATACTTGAGGTTTATGAACTGTGAGGTTTTGTGTGTCTTTCCAATCCCTGTTAATCCATTTGGCTTTTCAAACTGGAACAAGATTCTTCAATATTCTAAATCCTATTTTAAGATTCCTTAGCCAGTTCAGCTCATGTAAAGAAATCATCCAAAAGGAATATTAACAATGTAATATTTATATTGTGTTTGTTTTTACACACTGTGCTTTTGTGGTTTTACTTTATATGCTTAGGGTGTATAATTGGTTTCCAAGGGTCAATATGTGATCAACAGTGTTTTACCTATGGGAAGTGGGGTTCTATTGATATAGGAACCTCAATTATACATCCTTCCTCTTTGTTCCCATGAATAGTATCCTGAGCTCATAACCTATAACCTTATGATGTTTACATGTTATTTTAATTACCTCTTATCTCAACTAAATCTCCCTCAAATCCTTGAGAACAGAGACATCAGTTAAATCAACTTTGAATCCTCAGAATGTAGCACACAGCAGACATGCAAATATTTTTTAAATGAATGAATCAATTGTGAGACATGAGGGCTTATCTTGGATCCTCTATAGTCACTAAACAGGATTTTAAACTGGAGAATACTGTATTGGCCAATGGTTATCTGGAAAACCATAATCAATGGGAGTATTGTTTGTGTTTGTGGCAGGGGCTGGGGCTGGGGCTGGGGAAGATTTTCAGGAAATGGCTCAGTAATTGTAGGTGCTGGAGAGTCTGAAATCTGTAGAGTGGGCTGGCAGGCTGGAGACCCAGGGAAGAGTTGATGTTACAACTTGATTCTGAAGGCAGTCCTGAGGCAGAATTCCTTTTTCCTTGGGCAACCTCAGTCTTTTTCTCTTGAAAGCCTTCAGCTGATTAGATAAGGCCTACTCATATTATGAAAGATAATCTGCTTTACTCACAGTTTACTGATTTAAATGTGAATCTCTTTTTTTTTATTATTATACTTTAAGTTCTAGGGCACATGTGCACAACGTGCATGTTTGTTACATACGTATATATGTGCCATATTGGTGTGCTGCACCCATTAACTCGTCATTTACATTGGGTATATCTCCTAATGCTTTCCCTCCCATTTCCCCCCTCCCCACAACAGGCCCCGGTGTGTGATGTTCCCCTTCCTGTGTCCAAGTGTTCTCATTGTTCATTTCCCACCTATGAGTGAGAATATGCAGTGTTTAGTTTTTTGTTCTTGCGATAGTTTGCTGAGAATGATGGTTTCCAGCTTCATCCATGTCCCTACAAAGGACATGAACTCATCCGTTTTTATGTCTGCATAGTATTCCATGGTGAATCTCATCTAAAGAATACCTTCTCCCAGACAGCTAAGCTGGTGTTTGACCAGATATCTGGGTACAATGCCTTAGTTAAATTGACACATAAAATTAACCAATTAAGTGATTAATTTCAGTGGGAAGATTCAGCATTCTCGTAAATGAAATTAGCTATAAAAAATTGAAATTATTATAAGGAATAGTCACAAGTTATAAAAGAAACATTCATTGCTATGGCCAGGAATATATTGCTATATTGGAATCTTTAAGGGCAGAATGGAAAAAAAATGAAAGCATATGAACAATTATTACATAACATATAAATTAGGAAATTTTAAAGGAGAAATGATCAGAATTTAGGAAAGTATTCTTAAAGGATGTGAATTTTGATAAAAATTTGAAGAAAGTATGCATGCTGTGCATATATGGAGTTGGCAGAGAAGCCTGATAAGTAGAGTACCACAGGCCTTATGAGAGGCTTGGGGAAGGAAGGACAGGGAGAAACTGGCAAAGAGCGTTGCATATACATTTTAAATTTGTTTAGCTGGAGAATTAAAAAAACAAAAACAAAAAACTTCTAGGAGTTAATTAGGAAGGAAGAGATTAAATGAAAACATTTCTTTTACATTTTTCTTTTTTTTAATTTTAAGACATTATTTTAGATTCAAGGGGCACATGTGCAGTTTTGTTACATGGGTATATTGCATAACTCTGGGGTTTGGGCTTCTATTGAACTCATCGTTCAAATAATCAAGATACTACCCAACTGGTAGTTAAAAAAAAAATTTCTTAAAGATCTAGTTTTACATGTATGATGGACTAGAGTGGTTGCTAAGCCCAAGTACAGGAGATGAGGACCTGGACAAAGATTTATAAATAGAAACAAAATCCAAATAGAGAATTGAGACTTCTCAGAGACTGCTGAGAGAATTGACAGAACTTTGTGATTTAATGTTGGAGACAACACAAGAGAGGATATACTGATTTTGCCTAAATTGTCAATCTAGTATTGTAAGAATGATGTTGTTAATTTTGACAGTGATGTGGAAATTTACCAAGATGGGCAAGTGGAATATAAGGAATGATGTACACATGTGACTCAGATATTCTGTGGGGCGAAAGTGGTTTTATCATTGTATTCCAATATACTGGACATTCTGAGACACAAAATATGGTATCTTCCTATTAAGGGATGTTATTCTACTAGGGGAAACTGGCATACTTTTATTATAAACTTCATAGTATAACATATAATATTTGAAGATATCAGATATATCACATAAATGGTAAATCATCTCTCTCAGTATAGTCAGTGTCTACTGTGACAAAGCAACAAAAACTGTAGCAGTTTAAAGTGGGAAGGTATTTACATGTATTTTCTGCGAAGGATTTATGAGTGTCTCAGATTGAGGCCCTTATACGTAGGATTTTTAAAAACTTTATTTACACAGTGGGACAAATAGGGAAGCAGGAAGCCCCATAAGTTGGAGGCTTAGCTATGACTTAAATATACTACATGTTTTTTTCCCTAAACTATTAATTTGGAATATCTTGTAACTTATATACAGCCCTTCTACTATTTTATTATGTATGATTGATCTTTTTTTTTTTTTTTTTTTGAGACCGAGTCTCACTCTTTTGCCCATGCTGGAGTGCAATGGCATACATGACCTTGGCTCACTGCAAACCTCTGCCTCCTGTTTTAAGCGATTCTCGTGCCTCAGCCTCCCGAGTAGCTGGGATTACAGGTGCCCGCCACCACGTCCGGCAAATTTTTGTATTTTTAGTAGAGATGGGGTTTCACCATGTTGGCCAGGTTGGTCTCGAACTCCTGACCTCAGGTGATCCACCCGCCTCCGCCTCCCAAACTGCTGGGATTGCAGGCGTGAGCCCAGCCGATTAATCATTTTTATATGCCTAAGCCTTAGTCCTATTATATAAATCAGAGCCCTGTAGCTTCACTTTTATAAAATCCTTTTATTGCATATTCCCCATTCCCTTCTTTAGTCTATCAGTCTCAGAAGTTCGTCAAAGTATTGGGCATTTCTTGGGAGCAGCATTGCGATTATGTTTTTTTGTTGTTGTTGTTGTTTTTGAGGCAGGGTCTGGCTCTGTCGCCCAGGCTGGAGTGCAGTGGTGGTGCAATGTTGGCTCACTGCAACCTCTGCCTCCCTGGCCCAAGCCATCCTACTGCCTCAGTCTCTTGAGTAGCTGAGACTACAGGCATGTGCCACCACGCCCTGCTAATTTTTTGTATTTTTTGTAGAGATGGGGTCTTGCCATGTTGTCCAGGCTGGTCTCAAACTCCTGAGCTCAAGTGATCCGCACGCCTTGGCCTCCCAAAGTGCTGGGATTACAGGCTTGAGCCACCACACCTGTCTGCATTGAAATTATTATGTTTTTTATTTCCCATTCGTTGTTATTTTGTTGTTACTTATACTGTGTATGCCTTTGCTTTCATTATTTGCACATAGTCCTGACAATGGCATTAATTGGGATATTCCTTGGGCCAGAGATACATATTCTTACTATTGTCACTGTGCTTGAGCCTACATCCTCTTGCTTTCTTTCCAGATAGGAATTTCTTTCGGTGATAGTATTTATTCCTGTGCTTGTTTCTCAAGCCCTATTCTAATTTCCATCCTCCAAACCTTATTGCCTCTTACTATTATTACTCTCATAGTAAATATCTTCTTTGGATTGCATTCATAGCAATTTATATGATACGCATAGAATGTGAATTACTGAAATAAAACTATTCTGTTCACCTCAATATTCTGTACCTCAGTTTTCGTTAAGTCAAACTGATTTTCTCTGCAAGTAGTTTGTGTTTTCAGTGTTTCAGTACATGTTATTATCTTACAGTATGGAAATATTATCTAGTAGTGTAAAGATTTGTCACATAAAATTACTAGAAAAATAGAATGTTTAAAATATGCATGCAATTTACATGGGAAGCTTTACACAGTTCTATAGTTTTAGTGTTTTTTTTTTAAATGCTGTTCATTTATAAGAGTTAATGAGTCAGTGAAACTACATTTTTAATAATACCAGGAGGAAAGGATTTAATAGATCTTTAACATCTTCTGTTTTTTTTGTTTGTTTTTGATAGAACCTCACTCTGTCACCCAGGCTAGAGTACAGTGGTACAATCAGAGCTCACTTTAACTTCCAACTCCTGGGCTCAAGCGATCTTCCCACTTCAGCTTTCCAAATAGCTGGCACTACAAATATGTACCACCATTCCCAGCTAAGTTTTTAAAAAAATTTTTAGAGATGGCATCTCACTATGTTGACCAAGCTGGTCTCGAACTCCTGGCTGCAAGCTGTCCTTTCACCTCTGCCTCCCAAAGTGCTGGGATTACAGCCATGAGCCACTGCATCTGGTCAGATCCATAACACCTTAATGCCACATCTTTTTCTGACAGTTTTATTGATTGGGATTACTCTAGAGATCATTCTTTGGAAAACAGCTCCTCCTTCCTCCTTTTTTTTTTTTTTGTTTTCTTTCTTTCTTCTTTTTTTGAGATGGAGTCTCGCTCTGTCGCCCAGGCTAGAGTACAGTGGCGTGATCTCAGCTCACTGTAACCTCCGCCTCCTGGGTTCAAGCAATTCTCCTGCCTCAGCCTTCTGAGTGGCTGGGATTACAGGCACACACCACCACACCCGGCTAATTTGTTTTTGTATTTTAGTAGAGACAGGGTTTCACCGTGTTGCCCAGGCTGGTCGTAAACTCCTGAGCTCAGGCAGTCCACCTCCCTTGGCCTCCCAAAGTGCTGGGATAACAGGCGTGAACCACTGCGCCCAGCCACTTCGTCCTTTCTTTACCGGAAGTCAGAATACAAGAATTCCTTCCTTATCAGGTAGTTTAATCTTTGTTAGAATTATTATGCCTTCACCGTTTAATTTTTTCTTGTTACTTCTTCTGTCGTTTCAAAAAATACTCATTATAATTAAAATTTAGGAAGAACCCTGGAACTTAATGTAGCTGTCAGAGAGATTAACTACAATTTGCTGACAAGTCATGTGATTGGGGAAGAATAGCAACAAGTAATTGGATTGTTAAGTAGTAAAGTTTAGCAAGTTTAAAGTAAAGGCAGGGTCTCAGTTTGTCTCCCAGGCTGGAATGCAGTGGCGTAATCTCAGGTCACTGCAGCCTCGACCTCCCAGGCCCAAGCAGTTCTCCCACCTCAGCCTCCCCAGTAGCTGGGACTACAGGGGTGCACCACCACACCGGGCTAATATTTTAATTTTTTGTAGATATGGGGTCTCACCATGTTGCCCAGGCTGGTCTCAAACTCCTAAGCTCAAGCAATCTGCCTACCTCAGCCTGCCTAAGTGCTGGGATTACGGGCATGTGCCACTGCGCCTGGCAACAGTAAGGTTTTAAAAAATACACTCTAAGTTATTTTCCAAATTTACGTAGTAACTAGCACTTTCTTGAATATTTCTTTAGGTAATCAAGACAATAAATATATTTTGGCTAATAAATAAGTAAGGTTAAATTAAAAATTTAAGTTATTTTTAAATAAAATAAATATTATTTAAATAAAACGTTTTAAATAAAATATTCTCCAATTTCTTTAATCATTTTATAAAAATTTGTTATCCTCCATATAAAAGTAGATATAAAAACATTGTTTAGTATGTTAATGTGAACTAAGCAGTGTCATGTACATCAGCCTCAGAAATGGAATTTTACCAATACTGTGGAAACTCCCTGTGTAAGCCTGTCTCAACTTATTCCTCTTCCTGCACTGTTCCCCAGTGTGTGAACACTATGCTGAATTTTGACTGTTATGCTCTTGATTTTTAAAAAGGTTTTACTGCGTATGTATCTATTCCTAAATTATCTATTGATCCACTTATTTTATCAAACTTTTTAAAAAAGATAAGACGTACCTACAAGATATTGTGGGTTCAGTTCCAGACTACCACAATAAAGCAAATATTGCTATAAAGTGAATCACACAAATTTTTTGCTTCCCCAGTGCTTATAAAAGTTACGTTTATGCTATACCGTAGTCTATCAAGTGTGCAATAGCATTGTGTCTAAAAAAATATATATACCTTAATTAAAACATACTTTATTGCTGAAAATTGCTAACGATTATGTGAACTTTCAGTGAGTCATAATCTTTTTGCTGGTAGAGGGTCTTACCTCAATGTTGATGGTTGCTGACTAATCAGGATGGTGGTTGCTGAAGATTGGAATGCTTGTGGCAATTTCTTCAAATAAGACAGTGAAGTTTGCTGCATTGATTGACTCTTCCTTTCACAAAAGATTTCTCTGTAACGTGATGCTATTTGATAACATTTTTTACCCACAGTATATCTTCTTTCAAAATTGGAGTTAATCTCAAACTCAGCCACTGCTTTACCAAGTTTATGTAATATTCTAAATCCTTTGTTGTCATTTCACCAATGTTCACACAGTATCTTCACCAGAAGTAGGTAACATCTTTAAAAACCACTTTCTTTGCTTATTCATAAGAAGCATCTCCTTATCCATTAATGTTTTATCATGAGATTGCAGCAATTTAGTCACTTTTCAGGCTCCATTTCGAATTCTGGTTCTCTTGCTGTTTTTACCATATCTGCGGTTACTTCTACTGGTCTTGAACTCATAAAAGTCATCCATGATGGTTGGAACCAATCTATTCCAGGCTCCTGTTAATGTTGATATTTGATCTCCCATGAATCACGAATGTTCTTAATGGCATCCAGTATGATGAAGCCTTTCTAGAAGGTTTTTAGTTACTTTGCCCAGATCCATCAGAGGAATTACTATTTATGGCAGTTATAGCCTTATATAATATATTTCTTAAATAATAAGATTTGATAGTTAAAATTACTCATTGATCCATGGGCTGCAGAGTGGATGTTATGCTAGCAGGCAGGAAAACACATTAATCTCCTTGTACATCTCCATCAGAGTTCTTGGGTGGCCAGGTGCATTGTGAATGAGCAGTAATATTTTGAAAGGAATCTTTTTTTCTGAGCAGTAGGTCTTAACATTGGGCTTAAAATATTCATTAAACTATGCTGTAAACAGATGTGCTGTCATCTAGGATTTGTTGTTATAGCACACAGGCCAGGTAAATTAAACGTAATTCTTATTGGCCATAGGATTTTTGGAATAGTCACTGTGCACTGTCTTTACCTTCAAGTCACCAGCTGCATTAGCCCCTAATAAGAGTTGAGTTAGCCTGTCCTCTGAAGCTTTGAAGCTGGGTGTTGGTGTCTCCTCTCTAACTATGAAAGTCCTGAATGGCATCTTCTTCCAATAGAAGGCTGTTTCATCTACATTGAAATCTGCTGTTTAGTGTGGCCACTTTCATCATAGTTAGATCTTCTGGATAACTTGCTGCAGTATGTCCATCAGCACTTGCTGCTTCACCTTGCACTTTTATGTTATGGAGACAGCTTCTTTAACCATCATGAACCAATCTCTGTTAGCTTCAAACTTCTGCAGCTTCTTCATCTCGCTGTCTTCATAGAATTGAAGATAGTTGGGGGTCTTGTTCTGGATTAGTTTTTGGCATAAGGAAATGCTGTAGCTGGTTTGATCTATCCAGACCACTCAAACTTTACCCATATGAGCAACAAGGAGGCTGTTTTGCTATCTTATCATTTGTGTGTTCGCTGGAGTAGCACTTTAAATTTCCTTCAAGAACTTTTCTTTTGCACTCACAACTTGGCTGACTGGTGTAAGAGGCCTAGTTCCAGCCGGTCTTGGCTTTTGACATGCCTTTTTCTCTAAGCTTAATCATTTCTAGCTTTTGATTTAAAGTGAGAGACATGTGACTCTTTCACTTGAACAGTTAAAGGCTATTGTAGGGTTATTAATTGACCTAATTTTAGTATTATCGTGTCTCAGGTAATAGGGAGATGGCTGGTTTGGTGGAACAGTTAGAACATACACATTTGTTGATTAAGTTCGCTGCCTTATGTGGGCTTACATGTTCATGGTGCCCCAAAACAATTACAGTAATAAAATCAAAGATCACTGATTACAGATCACCATAAGAGAGATAATAATAATGAAAAAGTTTGAGATATTGTGAGGTTTTCCAAAATGTGACACAGAGGCACAAAGTGAACACATGCTTTTGGAAAAATGGCACCGACAGACTTGCTTGGATCAGGGTTGCCACAAACCTTCAATTTGTAAAAAACACAATATCTGCAAAGCACAATAAGTCAAAGTGCAATAAAAGGAGGTATGCCTGTATATTGTATGTATTCTACTATCTACCTCTTAAGTTTTTAAAAATTTTTAAGATTTATTTATGTTGCTCTGTAGAACATTTATTTTCCTGGGTTTATACTATTCAGTTAAGGGTATGTGACAGTTTGTTCTATTGTTGATTGATACATTGTTTTTTTCTACTATGAACAATTGAGCTATGAGTATTCTTATTTTGTGGTATGCATGTGCAAAAGTATCCCTTCCTAGAAGTAGAATTGCTGAGTTATGGGGTTTGTGCATATTCAATTTCAGATAATGCCAAATTATTTTCCATTTTGGTTTGTGGCAGAGGGTGGCTAGATATACACTGAAAATTTCCTCTTCTTCCTGGGCACAGAGTTAGGTTGAATTTTCCACCTCTGTTGCATCAGGAATGGCCATGTAAATGAATTCTAGTCAGTAGAATGTGAGTAGAAGTAATCTATGCCACTTTTAGGCCTGGCCCACAAAAATCTGCCATGCATCATCATTCAGTTTCTCTTCTCCCATCTTTTGGCCAAGTTTTGTTTCTTTCATACCAATTCCTGTACCTTTTCCTACCTGTTACTGTGCTGGCTAGACTTGTACAGCGTTGTATAGAAGTGGGGATTAATGAGTGTTATTTCTAATTTTAAAGAGCGTGCTTCTTATATTTCACAGATATCTACAGTACATTCTGTGTTCTCTAGATTACCTTTATGAAGCAAGGAGGTTCTCTTTAAGATTTTTTTTAAAAAAATTTATCGGGAATGCTGAATTTAATCTGATGTTTTACCAGTAATGATTGAGATGAACATTTGGGATTTCTCTTTTGTTTCCTTAATCTTGTGAATGATATTTATACCTTCATAATTTTTATTTTTTTATTTTTATCATTATTGTTATTATTATTATTTTGGTGACAGAGTCTCACTCCGTTGCCAAGGCTGGAGTGCAGTGGTGCAATCTCAGCTCACTGCAACCTCCACCTCTTGGGTTTGAGAGATTCTCCTGTCTCAGCCTCCCAGGTAGCTGGGATTACAGGCGCCTGCCACCATGCCCAGCTAATTTTTGTATTTTTAGTAGGGACAGAGTTTCACCATGTTGGCCAGGCTGGTCTCGAACTCCTGACCTCAGGTCATCCACCCGCCTCAGCCTCCCAAAGTGTTGGGATTACAGGCATGAGTCACCATGCTTGGCCTTATACCTTCATAATGTTAAACTGCACTTATATTTCTAGCATAAACTCAGCTTGGTCATGAGATATATTAATCTTTTGTTCATCACTTTCTTCAGTTTGAAGTATTTTTTGCTGTCTCCATATTTTCAGTCTTAGTTTGGATAGTGAGAAATACCATGTTATATGAGTATTTCAGATACTCCCAAACTTTCCAGTTCATGGTGTCCTCAAGTCAAAGAAATACCTAACAGCTACGTTTATTTAGTTTCAAACAAGTTAGTATTTATGTCCTTATAACTTATTAGTTATTTGAAAAAATCATATGCATAAATTCGATATATTTTTATTTTAATTGTAAATAACCACAGTCCCTTGCTAATGGGATATGTGTGCACCTCAGAGCAATGCATAACTTCTCAAACCTTGGAATCAGATAAGGCATTGCCATTGCCACCCTCACTTCTTGTTCCATGTTGATTTTCACTTGGGGATGCTCTTTTTCACAGCAACTACCATAAACTCAGATTTATAAGGATAACACATCATTGAAAGGAAAGTGGTACTATTTAATTTTGAAATTATTTGGTGTCAGACAGATGTTGTATAGCATAATTTGGGAAACCCTGAATTTTGGAGAGTGAATAGTTAGAATGTGAACAGTGAGGGGTACTGTGTTTTTTTTTTTTTTGAGTCTATTTGATATTTATATTTTATTAAGATAAGTTGGAATAACAGGATATCAGCTATATCTTTAATAAAATTTGCTATAGTCATTTTCTGTGTTGAGTTTTTAATTATGAGGGATACTTGTGTTTTATGTACTGTTTTGCATCTATGATCAAGAGTGAGATTGGCTGGGCGGTTTTGCATCTATGATCAAGAGTGAGATTGGCTGGGCGCACGGTGGCTCACACCTGTCATCCCAGCACTTTGGGAGGCCAAGGCGGGCGGATCATGAGGTCAGGAGATCAAGACCATCCTGGCTAACACGGGGAAACCCCATCTCTACTAAAAATACAAAAAATTTAGCCGGGTGTAGTGGCGGGTGCCTGTAGTCCCAGCTACTCCGGAGGCTGAGACAGGAGAATGGCGTGAACCCAGGGGGTGGAGATTGCAGTGAGCCAAAATAGTGCTACTGCACTCCAGCCTGGATGACAGAGCGAGACTCTTGTCTAAAAAAAAAAAAAGTGAGATTCACCTACTTTAGTTTCTTACACTATTTGGTTTTGGTATTAAGGTTATACTGGCTTCATAAAACGAGTTGGGGAATGAATATTTTCTCTTTCTTGAAGAGTTTACATAAGACTGAAATTGTTCTTTGAGTTTGGTAAAACTCAACTTTCTTTGTGAGATTTTAAAAAATTATTATGGTTGAATTCGTTTTTCTTTTTGCCTACCTGTATTTTCTTATTTACTGTAATACCATACAATACACTTTTAAGGCTGGACAATCTTATACCAAGAACACAAAACAAAGCCTGTTTGGAGTTGATTCTAAGTAGGTTTATCGCTTAGTCACCAAATCTTGTACTTTTAAGCAAAACTAACTCATAGTTTTAGAGAAGATTTTAAACTGTTGATTTAGTTTCCTTCATGACTATAGGATTATTTAGTCTTTTCATGTCTTTTTGTGTCATCTTTCAAAAAACTTTTTTAGCAATAATTTTAGATTTACAGAAGAGTTGTAAGAATAGTATATTGAATTCCCATATACTCCTCACCCAGTTCCCCTATTATTATTATTATTATTATTATTATTATTATTATTATTATTATTATTATTTTGAGACAGTCTTGCTCTGTCTCCCAGGCTGGAGTGCAGTGGTGCGATCTCTGCTCACTGCAATCTCCGCCTCCTGGGTTCAAGCAATTCTCCTGCCTCAGCCTCCTAAGTAGCTGGGACTACAAGCACGTGCTAATTTTTTGTATTTTTAGTAGAGATGGGGTTTCACCCTGTTAGCCAGCATGGCCTCTATCTCTTGACCTTGTGATCTGTCCACCTCGTCCTCCCAAAGTACTGGGATTATAGGCATGAGCCACCATGCCTGGCCAGTTCTCCCATTATTAACATTTGCATTACCATGGTACATTTGTCAAAACTAAGAGACTGACACTGGCTCACTGAACTTGACACCTTATTTAGATTTCAACAGGTTTTTTTGTTTTGTTTTTTTCTTGTTGTTGTTGTGTTTTTTTTTTTTTTTTTTCATTTATATCCTATATCCTCTTTCTGTCCAGGGTTCCCACAGTATCACATTGTATTTAATTGTCATGTCTTCCCAGTCTCCTCTGGTCTATGACACTTTCTGGTTTTCCTTATTTTTGTGACCTTGACAGTCTTGAGGAGTACTGGCCAGATATTCTCTCTGTTGGGGTTTGTCTGATGTTTTTCTTGTGAGGTTGTGGGAAGACTACCATAGAGAGGAAAGGCCCTTCTCATCACATCATTTTAGGGGGCACATAATATCCATGACATCACTGATGGTGTTAAATTAACCTCCATCACTTGGTAAAATAGTGATTGCCATGTTACTCACTGTAAAGTCATTATTTTTTCTTTTCCTTACTTAATTGTTGTTTGAAAGCAAGTTACTAAATCACCTTCAAGGGGTGAGGACATGGGAATTAAGTTTCACCTCCCAGAGGGAGGAGTAGCTACATAAATTATTTGGAATTCTTCTGTAAGAAAGATTTGTTTCTTGTTCTCCATTTAAAATATTTATTTAACCATATGTTTATATCACTGTGTCCTAGGTTAGTTTTAGTGGGTTATGTATCTTTTTAATTGAATTTACTGGTTACATTTGTTTTCAAATCTATTACTTAAATGTTTTCAACAAAAACATTGATCTTTGCTTTGTCAGTTGTTAAGTTCTCCCTTTCATTTATAATTACCTTGTATTATTTTCTTTCTTGATCTCATTGGCAGGATTTTTAAAAGTCATTTCAAAGAACCAGGCTGGGTGTGGTGGAGCAGGGCCATCCCAGCAACTCTGGAGGCTGAGACTAGGAGGATTGTTGGAGCCCAGGAGTTAAAAGGCTGCAGTGTGCTATGATCATGCTTGTGAATAGCCACTGCACCTCCAGCCTGGGTAACATAGCGAGACCTCATCTCTTAAAAAATAAAAAAGGACCAACTTTTGGTTTAATTATTCTCTTTATTGTGCATTTGATTTCTGTTTCATCAATTTGTGCTTTTATATTTGTGCCTTTTTTTTTTCTTGGTGAGGAAATTCTTTCTGGTAACTTCTTAGACATTTAGCTCAGTTTTCAGTCATTCTTTTCTAATGAAAGCATTGATGGGAATACATTCTCTGAGTATTGCTTTTACTACATTTTATGATTTTGAAATGTAGCGTTTTCATTATTTTTTCATTCTTGGGTTTAAAAATATTTATAATTTTTTCCTTGAGTCATATGTTATTTAGTGATACGGTTTTAAGTTTTGAAATGTATGACAATTTTATGTCTTTTTCTTATTGGCTTTGATTTCATTGCATTGTGATCAGGGAATGTAGTCTTTCTGGTAGTAATTGTTCCATTTTCTCTACCATGTCTTTTAACCTTTCTTTCATATTTTGCATTTCTTTGTGACTATAGGCTGCATTCTTTTTTTTTTTTTTTTTTTTTTGAGACAGAGTCTCTGTCGCTCAGGCTGGAGTGCAGTGGCGTGATCTCTGCTCACTGCAACCTCCATCTTCCGGTTCAAGCGATTCTCCTGCCTCAGCCTCCCGAATAGCTAGGACTACAGGCACTTGCCACCACGCCCAGCTAATTTTTTGTATTTTTTCTTTTTTTCTTTTTTTTAGTAGAGACAGGGTTTTACCGTGTTAGCCAGGATGGTCTTGATCTTCTGACCTCGTAATCTGCCCACCTTGGCCTCCCAAAGTGCTGGGATTATAGGTGTGAGCCACAGCGCCCAGCCTTTACGCTGCATTCTGAATTGTTTTGTCATTTCTGTGTAACAGTTCACTGACTCTGTTTATTTACTTCTTCCATTATGATTTTACTTGTGATGTTTTTCAATTCTAGTAGTTCTGTTTGGTTATTTTTCAGATTTGCCCATTCATTTTTTATATTCTCTCGAGCTTTACTAGTATTTTTATTTGTTCCATCTTTTTCTCTTAATATATTAAACATATTTAATATTCTATATTTGATAATTCTAATATCTGAAATTTTACAACAAATTTTGTTGTTTGTTTTCTCTGGCTCTTTCTAATAGTGCCTTATTTACTTGTATTTATTGTGGTTTTTTTTTTTTGAATCATGAACTTCTTTTTTTTAACTGGAACCCTGTGTAACTGTGGAACTCTTTAGACTTGAGTTCACAGTGCATTCCTCCAGGGAAGATTTTTTATTTCCTTCTACTATGTGCTTGGAGTTAGGGGTCTATGAACATAGGTTTTAACTTGAAATTCTCCCCTTTTAAAAAATTTTTTAACTTTTATTTTAGATTCAGGGAGTACATGTACAGGTTTGTTACATGGGTATATTGTGTGATGCTGAGGTTTGGGGTGTGAATGACCCTGTCACCCAGGTAGTGAGCATAGTACCCAACAGTTAATTTTTTAACCCTTGCTCCCATCTCTCCCTCCCTGCTCTGTTAGTCCCAGTGTCTATTGTTGCCATCTTTATGTCCATGAGTGCCCAGTGTTTAGTTCCCACTCATAAATGAGAACATGCAGTATTTGGTTTTCTGTTCCCTTGTTAATTTGCTTAGAATAATGGCCTACATCCACGTTGTCGCAAGTGGCATGATTTTATTTTCTTTTACAGCTGCATAATATTTCGTGGTATACGTGTACCACATTTAATTTGTCTGATCTACTGTTGGGCATCTAGGTTGACTTCATGTTTTTGCTATTGTAAAGAGTGCTGCAGTGAACGTAAGAGTACATGTGTCTTTTTGGCATAACAATTTATATTCTTTTGGATATGTACCTAGTATTGAGTTTGCTGGGCCAAATGGTAGTTCTGTTGTAAGTTATTTGAGAAACCTCCATACCGTTTCCCATAGTGGGTGAAGTAATTTACATTCCCACTAAAAATGTATAAGCATTCCCTTTTTTGTTTTATGAAGTTGGTGCTCCAGTGGGTTTATATTTAGGATAGTTAAGTCTTTTTGTTGAATTGAACCCTTTATTGTAATGTAATGTCCTTCTTTGTTCTTTTTTTACTGTTATTTTAAAGTCTGTTTTATATGATGTAAGACTTGCAACCCCTGCTCCTTTTTATTTTTCATTTACATGATAGATCTTTCTCCAACCCTTTACTTTGAGCCCGTGGGTATTGTTATGTGCGGGATGGGTCTCTTGAAGGCAACAGATAGATGAGTCTTTTTTTTTTAATCCAATTCATCTCTGTGCCTTTTAAGTGGGGCATTTAAACCGTTTACATTCACAGTTAATATTGATATGTGAGGTTTTGATCCTATTGTGAAGTTGTTAGCTAGTCACTGTAGTTTCTATTGTGTGGTTGCTTTATAGGGTCTGTGAGCTGTGTGCTTAATTGTGTTTTTGTGGTAGAAGGTTATTTTTCTTTCATTTCCACGTTTAGAATTCCCTTAAAGATCTCTTTTAAGGCTGGTCTAGTGGTAACGAATTCTCTAGCACTTGCTTGTCTGGAAAA
Source organism: Homo sapiens (assembly GCF_000001405.40). NCBI lineage: Eukaryota > Metazoa > Chordata > Mammalia > Primates > Hominidae > Homo > Homo sapiens. Next base: position 24,612,147 of record NC_000002.12, read on the forward strand.
GATTTTATTTCTTCTTTGCTTATGAAGCTTAGTTTGGCAGGATATTAAATTCTTGGTTGGAATTACTTTAAGAATGCTGAAAATAGGCCCCCAATCTTATACAGTTTCTGCTGAGAAGTCCACTGCTAGCCTGATGGGATTTCCTCTGACCTTTTTCTCTGACTACCTTTAAGACTTTTTCATTAGCTTTGACCTTGAATCGTTTTGTGATTATATTTCTTATTGATGTTTGTTTTGTGTAGTATCTCACAGGTGTTCTCTGAATTTCTTGTATCTGAATGTCTACCTCTCTTGCAAGATTCGGGAAATTTTCTTGAATTATTCCCTCAAATGTGTTTTCCAGGTTGTTTGCTTTTTCTCCATCTCAGGAATGCCAGCAATTAGTAAATTTGGTTGCTTTACATAATCCCATATTTCTTAAAGACTTTGTTCCTTTTTTTTGAATTCTTTTTTCTTTATTTTTGTCTGACTAGATCAGTTCAAAAGGGCAGTCTTCAAGCTCTGAAATTCTTTCTTCTGCTTGGTCCAGTCTATTGATAAAGCTTTCCCTAATATTTTGAAATTCCTTAAGTGAGTTTTCAATTCCAGAAGTTCTGATTGACTTCTTTTTAAAGTATTTACCGCTTCCTTCATTTCTTAGAATGATTTAGAAGTTTCTTTGTGTTGATTTTCAACCTTTTTTTGGATCCCAGTGAGCTTCCTTGTAATTCATGCTTTGAATTCTTTATCTGTCATATCTGAGTTTCCATTTTGGTTAGGGGCCATTGCTGGAGAGCTAGTGTGATTATTGAGTGGTGTCACTACGATCAGATTTTTCGTTTGGCCAGAATTCTTGCACTGGTTCCTTCTCATCTGGAGACACTGGCACTTTTGATTTTTGTAATTATTTTCATGCAGGTAGGATTTTTTTCTTTTTTTGTTCCTGTCCCTGTAATATTTTTTTTTTCTTTCCCTTTCCATTCCCCAACTCCCTAGGGGATATGATTGTAGAGAATGCTGGGTAGCATCTTTTGGCTTTGCTTCTATAGCCTATGTACTTCTTTGGGCAGATTTTATATTGGGCTGTAGGGTTCAACCTACAAGCCAGTAGATGGCGCTTACGGGTAAGATCACTTAGCCAGCTGTAGCCAGTGTGACTAGGTATACACTTGATACTTGTTTACAGGAAGAAGCTCTCTGTTGCCTCAGGCATTGGGCTGATACGTGGAGTGCACAGTGGTCTGAGCTACTTGCTCAGCCCCAGGGGAGTGGGAAGCAAGATGAGTGGGGCCAGGCCACCTACAGTCCCCTGATGGCAGGCACAATCACTAACACTGAGGGAGAAGCCAATGGGCAGCCACCAAGCACCCAGAGGTGGTCCTAGGCATGGAGCTGGCAAACCTCCTTGGCCCCAAGTTCTCTACACAGGCAGGGGTGGAGGCCTGAACTCTTAATCCAGGAGAGTGGGTACTCCAGGTACCTGGAGATCTGCCTGGGTGCTGCGTACAGAGGGCCCTGCTGTACCACAATCTCTACACAGGAAGGATGGGGTGTCTCAGGCTAGCAATCCATGCAAATGGGTCCTCTGACTGCCTGAAGCTATGCCCGGGAATGGGGCAGAGAGTGCCCTGCTTTACCATGGTCTTGGCATGGGGAGAGTGGGCTGGCTTAGCCTGCTGATCCCGGTGAATGGGTGCTCCAGTTACCTGGAGATCTGCCTGGGTGTGAAGCAGAGAAGGTCCTGCTGCACCCCGACTTTTGAGTTTTAGGAGTATTCACATAGCATAGATGATTCAGGCACCAAATCCTCATGATGTCTTTGCTAAGGCCAAGAGGTTTTCTTTGATGTTTGCCTTTGAAGGTGTTTTTAATGTTTGAATTTACCCTTTTCCTGGTGTTATTGTCCTTCTTGGGCCCTGTCTTTGTCTGATAGTGTCTTACCTGACTTTCAGAGGCCTAAACTTTTTTCTCAATCCTTTCCAACCCTAGGTTACTAGGATTCATATATGCCCCAGGAGTATCTGGAAGCTTTATTACTTGCTTTTCTGCCTATTGTATCGATTCATTTCCATTCTTTTTTTTTTTTTTTTTTTTTTTTTTTTTTTTGCTATGGGGTTTCATTCTGTTATCCAGGCTGGAGTACAGTGGTGTGATCACAGCTGACTGCATGCAGCCTCAACCACCTGGGGTCAGGGGATCCTCCCACCTCAACCTCCTGTGTAGCTGGGACTATAGGTATACACCACCACACCTGGCTACTTTTTTGTTTTTGTTTTGTTTTGTTTGGAGAGACAGGGTTTTGTCATGTTGTTCAGGCTACTCTTGAACTCCTGGGCTCAAGTGATCTGCCTGCCTCGGCCTTGCAAAGTGCTGGGATTACAGGTATGAGTCATTGCACCTAGCCCATTTTCATTCTTTATATCAGACGTTTAAAATAGAAATGTTTTAAGATCTCTAGCCCAGCATATTCTCATATCTCAGGCAGTGGGAATCCTCTTGGAAAATTTTCAAAAGAATAGTTTCTAAAGCCCAACCACACCTACATGTCAGAATCTCTAGGGTGCAGGGCCTGTGGGTATGTTTAAAAGCCTCCTAGATAATTCTGATGCACTGCAAGTCTGAGAACCACTGACATAGAAAAAGTTATTTCTTCATGTAAACTTAGATAATTAAATAATAACAGCTAGTGTTTATTGAAAATAAGGTAACATATATTGTAAGCATGCACTAATTCTAGCTGTTAGTATTAATATTGTTATATGCTAGGCTCCATTCTAAGTCCTTCACATATCTTGTCATTTATTATTCACAAGAATCCTATAGCTACCACTTGTATTCCCATTTTAGAGATTAGCAAATCAAAGCACAGAGAAATTGAATTATTCAAGTTTATATAGCTAGTGGGTAGCAGAATTGTTATTTGAATCCAAGTAGTCATTCTGATTCCAGAGCATGTAATCTTAACCTACCATCTTTACAGTCTTCCAGGTGATTCACAGAGTTAATTTTATTGATTCCCAAAGGGTTTGTGACATTACAGAATATAGCAAGAAAAATATATTTGGATAAATTATGTATTTATGTTGATTTTGTGTAGGTATTGAGGAAGCAGAATAACACAGTAGAAATGGCCTCAGTTTACAGTCAGATAGACTTAGGCATGAATCTCTGCTCAACTGCTTGTTACTAGTAGCTATGAGAAAGTAAATTATCACAGACCTCTTATTATTTTGTTGGTAAAGGAGGATAACTATTTTTACTTCATGGGGTTTTTGAAGAAATAACATAAAATAGAACCTGTAATATATTGCTTGGCACACAGTAGATGGTTAGTATCAGAACTTAAGGAATCCTCTAAGAAGTTATGTTGGCTTCTCTGCAGGAGATTGTAGTAAGCCTTAGTCTAGGACGTTGTTGATGGAATAGCTGATGGGTACTGGTCGATGGTGCTGGTGGGGGCCAATGCTGACTGTCAATGTTGAGAATCTAACAAGTGCCAAGCATTGTCCTAGGCTCTGGAGATAAAACGGTGAGTGAGACATAGTCTCACTGCTTTCAAGAAGCTTGCAGTTAACTTATCTATATAATCAGATAGATACATACACAGTTACTTTTTTTGTTAGATGCTAGGACACATAGGAGGGTTACTCAGCCAAACCATTGCAGATGAGGAATGGCTTTCTAGAGGGAAGAGGATGAGAATGTGAGGGATTAGAGTAGTAAGTCCAGATAGGAGGAAAAGTAAAGGCTGGCTGAAATTTGTCATTACTACAAAGGTGTTCCATTCATCCAACATTTATGAAAAGATCAGGGATCTTAGGAAACTTTTATAAGGACAGTGTTAGAATATTAAGAGCCTACTTTTAGGTTCAGTTTTTACTAAAGCAGACAATTTTTCAAAGTAAAATAAAAATGGCACTCTTTATATGTAATACTGAATTTTCTATCAAATAGCACTTTTTGGAGTCTACATGCTTGTTACTTGGTAGCATTGTCACATTAGGTTATACATTAGAGGAAGAGAGAAGAGAAACAAAGGAATAGTAACCTTCAGAGGATGGAAATGATGATTTGTATGTGGGGTGAATTTCATCATGAGTTGTGTCTGCTATTTGCACATTTCCCTTTTCCTACCATCCTTTTTCACAGATGATGAAAAATAATTTGTTACATAGTTACCATAGTACATAGTTTTAATTTGATACCGTTTGTTGCTCTTGTATGGATTTGATAGTTGAGATTTCTTTCCATCTTTCTCCAATGTTCCCAATAAAATAGCATATTAAAAATGCAAGAGAAATACCATTTCTTTTGGCAAAACTGGGAAAAGTGAAAGGGAATGAATAAAGAATTTCTTGGAAGGGGAGGAATGTGAGTCTAGGGGAAGGAAGATGATGTTGTAATGGATAAAATGATATCGGGGATTATAGGAAAATAAATGAAGTTGGTCTTTAAAAATACCCCCAAAACAGAGGCAGCAGTTCTGCATGTTTTGGTAACCTGATGAGTGTGACTTGATATAAGAGTACACTTTTGATCTCCTACTTGCATATCTGTATGACACCTACCTAGAAGTACTGTAGTTTTTTATATGTACTGTAGTCCTGCTCAGGACATGAGCAGTCCCTGACTAGAACTGAGGAAAGTAGAGCAGTTAGTGTGGGTATTTGGAAACATTGGAAAACAGTTGTTAGGGGACTTAAGCTCTTAATCCCTGAGGATTTAGCAGAGGCTAGAAAGAGGAAGGGAAAAATGAAATCCAGTCTGTAAAAAATTGATTCTGAAAGCGATACTTTGGAAAGTTTATAAAATGAGGTCGAAATTGTGAACATAGACATGTTTACTGTGATGACAAATCTTAGTATACTAGGAGTAGCCAAAACCTTGGATGGAGAGATACAGTTTTAGACACCACCCCTCAAAAAGAGACTTTATAATACTGTCCTACAAACTTACCATCAAATACTTGTTTGCATCTTTATGGTATGAAGTTGGGGAGGATGGTAGAAATGTTGAACATAAAAGCATGTTGCTCCAATGACTGTGGTGTTGTTGGGGTATGTTGAATTTCAGGGCCCTTTGAGAGAAGAGTATTCATGCCTAATTGGGGTTTAAATTTTAGCAGACTCTTCATTACCTTTGGGCACTTTTTTCTAAGAGTTTGTTGTGATTGTTTTGGCAGGTACAAAAATCCTTCTCGAAACTGAACGTTATGATCTCTCCACCTCAACTTCTGCTGGTTTTCCTTTTACCTCTATCCATTTTCTCTCTTTTTTACTTGTTCTTCCAGCTGTAACAGTGTCCCTCTTGAAATATTGCAGTGCTTCCATAGTAATCCATTCTCTTCTCTTTCTGCACACGTTCTGTTGGTCATCTCATACACTCCACTATCATTAATGTGTTAGTGATTCCAGAATCCTTTATATTCCACTTCTTTGAAAGTCATCTGAACATATCTTCTTGGGTGTCCTGTTGCCACCTCATGATTAATGTGTACGTAACTGAGTTAATCAGCCTCTCCCTCAGACATCTGTTATCTCCCATAAACTCAGGCTTGGCTAAATGGCATTAATGAGTCCCTCATGCCAGGAACCTTGGTGTTCATAGGAGCTTATTCAGAGAATATAAACAAAGTTTTAGCCAGAAGATGCCTCATCACAGTACCTGTATTTTATTTAATACCAAAAAACAAAAAATTGGAGCCAATCTGAAGTCATAATCACTGCATTTCTTAAAAACTGTGATATACACACACACGCACACACGCAGAAATATTTTACAGACAGTAAAATCTCTGTGGAATATTTAATGACATGAGAAGGAACATATGTAAACTTAGTGAAAAAAGATGCTCTTAAGCAATATATTCATTATAATTCCATAATTATTAAAATAAAACTATATAGAGATATTTATAGAAAGAATGCATATGCAGATATTCACTTTAATTCTAGATAGTACAGCTATGGGTGATTTTAATTTTATTTTTATTTACCTGTATTTTCCAAAGTTGTGTAGTAAAAATGAATTACTTTTGTAATTCACACATGCAGACAATTTGGCCTCCCTTTTTCACTCCCAACACTTGTTGAATTAGTTTAATAATGTCTTCTTCACTCCAACTATTGCTGCTTAGTTCAACTACTCATTATATCTGGATAAGACACGGCAGCCTCTTGACTTTGCTGCTCAGCTGCCAAGCTCCCTTCCTGAAAATCCTTACTGATGCAGTTCTTCACTTGCTTCACTGTTCCATTTAAGTGGCTATATATTAAATCTCAAAAACCATCAAGAACAGAGGAAATTGTGAATGTTATTCCTTGTAACTAGTTTACCATCTGGTCTGAAGACCTTCAGCCAATGGAATTCAGCCAACTCAAGATTTAATTTAATATATTCACCTAACCTTAACCAAGTGACTTTTAACCAGAGCATGGATAGTTATGCAGATTTGGGGTGAGGAGAGGTGAAGGAAGGAAGGGTGGGAGAGAAAATATGATTTGAACTCAGGCCTTCACAAATCTGTGCTCATTCCTTCTGTTCTACCTCTACAAACTGCCATACCTTGCCCTTGCTGGGTGTATGTTCCCCCCTCCTGTATTCAATAAACAGTTCATTGGTTTTTTTTTTGAGCATTTAGCCAGTAAGAACAAATAGGCAAATAATGAAAATCCATCCATTTTAGTGCCAGTTATTCTATCAGCAGATCCTATTAGAAGTATTTATTGAGGCATGTCATGCTAATAGTCCCAAAGTGTAATTATACTTGCAGATTTTTCTTGCTTTCAGAGAGTTTGTAATATGTTCCAGATGGTTAAATAGGAAAGAGGAGACAATTTATACTGTCTTTTCACTTATGATTAAAAATTTGATGTTACTTACTACTTATGTTACCATTATTGCTTTGTTGGATTTTTACGTGAGAGGAATTTAAACAAAATGTGTGATTTTTAAAACTCTTCTGCTATAGTCAACAATTAACAGGACGTTTCATAGTTTCTTTCACCTTGTTAGTTGTTTAATTGCTTCTATTTAGGCATCATTAAAATGATATAATTGTGTCATAAGTAGTAATTCTTTTATGAATGTAACCTTTATTCTTGGAAAGTATTCACTTGGGTTTGTTTTAGACTTAAAATTAAATGGTGAACCTTCTTGTGAAAGCTTACATGAAACTGAAAAAGAATAATTTTCCAAACTGTTGAAGATTCTTTGACCTTTTCCCACAAAGTATTAATAATATGGCCTTAGATTCAAAATTAGTGAATCTACTACCAATAGTAGGAGTGATCATTTCTCATTGATTCATTCATACTCTCTCAACTACCCTTATCTGACTAACGAACTACTTCTTTTGAAAGGCAGCTTACCAAACATTGGGAATATAGCCTGTGAACTCAGTTTAGAACAGTTAATGGATCAAAGGGGTCCAGACCCAGAGCCTTGACTTCATTATGACCTTGAGTTAACCAATAAACTGACTGGTTGGTTAACTTGGAGAAATATGTTGTTTTTCAGTAAGAGATAGAATACTTATGGTGTAATTATTTGGTCGGGGCAGGGGGACAGATTGGTTTTGATCCTTAGACTACCATTCTCTGTCCTTGAAGTTCTCTTCCAGACTTCTTACAAACAAGAAAACAAGCAAAACATTTTAAAAATAATTATAGTTATATAATTACAAAGATAATTATAAAATTATATTTTTGGTGATAAATAATAGAGATTATTCCTAAAGGGTTTTTTGGGGGTATAAAAGGAGTAGTTTGATCCAGCAAGATTTACTTCCTATAAATTGCCTTTAAGTATCTTTGTTCTTTCTCAGATTTTCTTGTTCTTCTTTAACTGGCCACATCCTACCTCTTCCTGACCTTCTCTCCCCAAAACAGCCTACCCTCTCAGTCTTTTCAGACTCCTCAGTCGTTCCTCATACTTACTGTACAGAATTCTTTCCAGTTTTTCTGGGTAAAATTCTTATCCTTTCTACAAAATTTAAATTCCTTCTCAGCAAGTTCAAAGCCCAAACTAAGACTAAGAAAAGCATGCCTTTGGGGAGACTCAGTTCATCTTGCAATAATAAACTGGCAATAATTTCAGATTTCTATTTTCATTACTATTGCCAAACTTTGTATAATTTGGTTTGTTCAGCTTTTACAGCAAACCTCATGTTCAGATTGTTATTAACTATTCAATATTGGCTGGGCGTGCTGGCTCACGCCTGTAATCCCAACACTTTGGGAGGCCGAGGTGGACGGATCACCTGAGGTCAGGAGTTTGAGACCAGCCTGACCAACATAGAGAAACCCCGTCTCTACTAAAAATACAAAAATTAGCCGGGTGTGGTGGTGCATGCCTGTAATCCCAGCTACTTGGGAAGGCTGAGGCAGGAGAATTTCTTGCTTGAACCTGGGAGGCGGAGGTTTTGGTGAGCTGAGATCACGCCATTGTACTCCAGCTTGGGCAGCAAGAGCGAAACTGGTCTCAAAAACAAAACAAAACTATTCAATATTATGAGTCTTTCTGGGAATATGCAAAATAATATAGACAAATTTAATTCTTATTTTTGTTGTATGTTTTTAAAGTGTTTTGTATGTTCACTGGCTCACATGTATAAAAATTTGATTTTATACAAATGTGTTAAGATGGGATTAATTTTTTAAAGAATGATTCACAGAATTTCATTGAATGGAATATTGTAGCTTATATATAAAGAATGTAATTTGATTTATAAAAATTTAGGATATGCAGGACCTTTCTATGCTACTTAAGTAAGAATTGCATATGTGTGACAAAATTTAAGCTAATTAGGGTAAGTATCTTTCTGTGTTAGTGGTAAGAGATAATAACAGGATATTTGAAAAGAAATGCTACTTTGAATTCATGATACCATGTTTCTTCTTGTTAACTAAGCTAGAAATTTTTCCTTATTCCTTCTTTGGAGTATCCCAGCCCTCTTATCTACCCTGCTTTCGTCATGGGAAGAGTTGTTACTGTGATTCTCATAATCTTGTGTGGTATGTGGGGGGTGGGGAGGAGTTCCCTTATTCACCTGGCCCCTTTCCTGGAATATGGCATGTGAAATGCCTTGTCTTGTTGTGAAACATTTAGAAAATTACAGTAACGGCACTTCAGTCCTCATCTTTCCTGAGGCTTCCTTTGTCCCCTTATTATATATCTGGTATATTTAAAATCTCTTGTTTTTTTGTTTTCCGTTTGAATACTTGAACCACTTCAGTGTCTAATTGAACATTGTTATTGTCTAGAAATTCAGATTTCATTTTTTGTGTTATGTGTGTATTCAGGCAGATTTTTTTTTTTTTTTTTTTTTTTTTTTTTTTTTGAGACAGAGTTTCCGTCTCAAGGCTGCAGTTTCACTCCGTCTCAAGGCTGGAGTGCAATGGTGCGATCTCAGCTCACTGCAACCTCCACCTCCTGGGTTCCCTCCTGGGTTCAAGTGATTCTTCTGCCTCAGCCTCCTGAGTAGCTGGGATTACAGGCACCTGCCACCATGCCCGGCTAATTTTTTGTATTTTTAGTAGAGGCAGGGTTTCACCATGTTGGCCAGGCTGGTCTCAAACTCCAGACCTCGGGTGATCCATCCTCTTCGGCTTCCCAAAGTGCTGGGATTACAGGCATGCGCCACCACGCCCAGCCTTTCAGGCAGCTTTCTAAGCAGCGCTCATGAATTTGAATCCCTGTAGGTCTAATTTGTACCTAATCTCTGTCTTTCTGTATCCTAGGAAGCTTTGTTAGGAATTGATACATGCCTTTGTCTCATTTCCCCAAACCTAATGTTTGACCGTATACTGTTAGCTGACTGTCAGGTTCTGTTCACAGAGTGACACCTCTAGTCCCCGCATGTTTTGACATGTTAACTGTGTGAGAGGAAAATGCTCAGACACTCCTGAGAAATCAGGCTGCATCCACTTACATATCCAGCAAAATAGATGATGAACATAGGAGAAGGAGAACCATACAGCAGTTTGGTTTAATGCACACTGACCTCCAGTATAGCCAGTTAGTATACAGGAATTTGACCTAAATAAGAACTGTTGTTTTTTTTCCCTTCTGAGGAGAAGCATTTGTAGCCACAATGGTAAAAAATAATTTATCCTCATATACCACTGTTTCTCAACAACAGCACTGTTGACTTTGGGGTCAGATAATTCTTTGTTGTGGGGACTGTACTTATGCATTGTAAGATGTTCAGCAGCATCTGATATCTACCTAGTAGACATCTGTAGCACTCTCCACCCTGAGCTGTGATAACCAAAAATGCCTCCAAACATTACCAGTGTTTCCTGGGAGGTAATACAGCCCCAGTTAATAACTACTGCCCTATACTTATGATTATGTCTTTGTACTTTTGATTATATGGTGAAGACAAATTCTTAGAAGATAGATTGTGCATTGTAATTATTTTGGTAACTCCAGAAGGATATACCAATTTCTATTCCAAAAACAATATAAGACATTGTATATTTCCCTAGACCCTTACCAGTGCTGGATTTTGTCAGTTTTTTTAGTCTTTTGCCATTTTGATAGATGAGTAATTACATTGCCATAATTTTAATTCAAACAGTTATTAAGAAGGTTGGGTATATCAGAATTTTTATTGCCCATATGCAGATCATCTTTTGTGCATTGCTTGCTTTTGTTCTTGGCTCATTTTTCTGGGGGTATTAATTTGGTCATTTATGGTTTCTCCTAGTAGGTTGAATTTATTGAGGTGTCACATAAAAGATACTCAATAGATTTTTAAGTTGAATGTAGAAGAACATTGGTACTTCTCTAAGGAAAGAGAGTATGTATGTGTTGCATGTGTTTGTGTATGACCATGTGGACACATGTACATATGTTCATGTGTATATATATTCATGGGGACAGAAGAGCAGAGGGCTAAAGACTTGAGCTGTGTGTCCACATTTACCAGGCATTACAAGGATATTGAGAAGAAGCGGAGGACAACCAGTATACTTTTCTTGGAATATGTCTGAAAGGTCAAAGAGAAAAGTGACTAATTTGCTAGGAAGTTCACCTCAAACCTCCCTAGCCAAATTCTGTAAGGTCAAACAAGTGATGAATATTCAAAGGACTAAAAGAAGTTAGAGGTGGAAACTCAGAAAAGTGATATAGTAAGAGTATGAGAATGGGAGGCTTAAATTTCATAGCATTGTCTAAGTAATGTGGTATTTGGGAGAGCTAAGTATAGATTGGTGAGACAGCCCAGCTTATATGGATTACCTATGGAATTTTTTTACTTTCTCATTTTTATCAGGGAATTTATCTTCTTCACTGTTCTTGGATATCATCTAATTTTCTTTTTCTGGGCTCCAGATCTCTGTCTTTGTCTTTGAAAGGGTCTTTGCCCTCTTCCTTCAGAGCACATAAAAAGATAATAAGAAATATGTATCTAGGGCAAAAGTTCTCATCATATGGTCTGCACACCCCTCGGAGGGTCTGTATTAGGCTGCTTGGACTGCCATAGCAGAATACCACAGACTGGGTGGTTTAAACAACAGAAATTTATTTTCTCACAGTTCCGGAAACTGAAAGACCAAGATCAAGATACCGTCAGGGTTGGTTTCTGGTGAGGCCTCTCTGTATTTGGCCGCCATCTTCCTGTGTCCTCACATTACCTTTCCTCTGTGCCTGTGCACTCCTGGTGTCTCTTCCTCCTCCTATAAGGACACCAGTCTTATTGGACTGGGGCTCCACCCTTAGGACTTCATTTAACCTTAGTTACCTCCTTACTAGCCCTGTCTCCAAGTACAGTCACACTGGGGGTTAGAACTTCACATATAAACTTGAGAAGGGGACACAATTCAGTCTATAACAGAGCCCCTAAGACCTTTTCATGGAGTCCACAACATCAAAATTGTTTTATTAATAATATTAAGGTGTTGTGTTCCTTTTCTGTTGTCTAGACATTCTCACCAATAGTGCAAAAGTAATGGAGGGTAAAATTGGTGCCTTCTCATAAACCGAGGCTATAGTACCCAATTGTATTCTTGGTTATTTTCTTTGTTACTCCATAATTGCAGTAAAGAAAAAAAATGGGTTATTAAAGGGCTATTCTCAGTTTTAACTGACAATACAATAAATATTGGTAACTCATATTAATTAAACCTCTTTGGGTCCTTGATAATTTTTAAAAGTATAAAGGGATCCTTAAACCAAAAGAATTTAAGAACTGATGATCTATGGGAAAGAAGGGGCTATTAATCAAGTAAATTTTTCTATTTTCTGTTCTTGATTCATAAGGCAAATAGTTCTGTCATAATCAGAGAAAATAAGCTTTTATTTTTAGAAAGTAGACAGATTACATTTCTGTATTTAATAAGAACAAAAAGTTTTCAATGTATGCATATTCAATTTTCAATAGATTCTCTGCCCCTGTTCTCCCTGCCTACCAACCCTGCTTCCCCCACCAGCTTTGGTCCTTGCTTCTGGTGAGAAGAGTCAAGGGAGTTTTCTTAACTCTGGTCCATTTACTTGTTCAAATGCTACTGAGTGTTTTGTTGATGAATGGCAGATACAATTCCTTTCTTAGGGAAGTTGCTGCTAAATGATGAAACAATATATACATATGCAAGATATTACTCTACGTATCAATATAGAATATTTTGAACAGAATATTTTCCAGGAAGTAAAAATAACAGTTCTTATAAGTGGATTTTGAGCTGACTCTTGGGGTGGATGCATGAATTGACAGAGAGAGGAGAGGAGGAGGAGAAAGAGTATGTGTAGAGAAGGGTTTGACAAACTTTTACTGTAAAGGACCAGATAGTAAATGCTGTAGGCATTGCCAACCATACGGGAGCTACTGGACTCAGCTGGTGTAGTGTGAAAGCAGCCATAGACAGTAAGTCATAAACAAATGAGTGTGAGTGTATTCCAACAAAACTTTGTTTATGGACAGTGAAATTGAGTTTTATATAATTTTCTTGTCTCACGGTAAGAAACAAATGAGTGTGACTATTCCAACAAAACTTTTTTATGGACATTGAAATTGAATTTCATGTAATTTTGTTGTGTCATGAAATATTATGCTTCCTGTGTTTTTTTTCAACCATTTAAATATGTAAAAACTGGCCAGATGTGGTGGTATACACCTGTAATCCCTGCTACTCAGGAGGCTGAGGCACGAGAATTGCTTGAACCCAGGAGGTGGGAGTAGCAGTGAGCCGAGATTGCACACTGTACTCCAGCCTGGGTGACACAGCGAGACTCTGCCTCAAAAAAAAAAAAAAAAAAAAAGTTGAAGGAAAGGTGAGAATGTGTTCATGGCCACATGAACTGGGGATTTAAAAATTTTGTTGATCTTTTCAAGGAACTAACTTTTGCTTTGTTAATTTTTTCTACTGTTTTATTTCTTTCACTGATTTCTGCATTTAGATTATCTTCTTTCTTTTACTTCCTTTGGGTTTACTTTGCTCTTTTCTTCCTAGCTTCTTAAGATAGAACCTTGAAATCTATTTCCCCCAAAGGAGACATTTAAAGCTATAAAATCTTCTCCCTCCCCTCTAAACACTGCCTTCTCTGTGCTCTCCAGATGTTTGTATGTATTTTTATTTGTACTTTTCATTACATTCCATTTGAAATAATTCAGTGTTTTCTGTTTTGTTTTTTTTTTTTCCTCCATGGATTATTTAGAAGTGTGTTGGTTTTAAATATTTGAAGTTTTGGAGTTTTTCTAAATGTCTTACTGTTACTGGTTTTTAATTTATTTCAGTTGTGTTCAAACAGCACACTCTGAGAAGTTTAATCCTTTTAAATTTATTTCGACTTATCAGCATAAATCATATCAGTCTTGGTGAAATTACATGTACTCAAAAACAATGTATTCTATAGTTGTTGGATATAGTGTTCTAAAAATGTCACTTAGGTTGAGGTGGCTGATCAGATCTACCATGTCTTTATTGATTTTTGTTTTAGAGGGGTCTGGTTCTTCTATCAAATGGTGAGAGAGGGGCATTAAAATCTTCAGCTGTAGCAGTGTGTATGTTTTTCTCTATTTAATTTAGTCACTTTCCTCATGTATATTTAAGCTCTGTCATTGCTGGCTGTGATAATGGGAGACCTTGAATGCAAGGTAGCAAGTGTGAATTCTTTATGGAAAGGCACTGTTGAGTGGTGACTAGGGGTGTGACATTGTGACATGAGATGTGGGGACTTGTTCAGCAGGATATACTGCATAGGCAGACCAGGGATAGGAGTTAGACGTGCTGCTAAAGTGCTTCAGACTTGGATTGCTAACAGTATGGAGTATAATGATGATTTGAAAATAATGAACGTGATGCTGTTCTGATAAACACTGGAGAGAGAAAATTAGCAGGAGATTTCAATGGATTGAATATAGGAAAAGCAAGGCAAGCTGACTGAAGCAGTTCTAAGAACCGAGAGAGCTGGGAAAGTGGTAGTATGGTTGCTGGTGATAGCAGTGTATTTAATAGTGACTTTAAGTGGTAGAGATGAGGATTTTCTTTTTGACCTAATAAATTTTGGATGTTACCTGGATATCTAAATATGGCATCATTTTGTTAATAGTGAGAAGTTCAAGATTGGTAAAGGAGGATAAGAATTTCTACTGGGTTTTCATTGCATGCATACTATGAAATCATTGATTTCTGAATAATTGTGGGATTAAGATTTTATATGTGGTCTTAGCTCAGATATTCCCCTAATATATAAACTCTTCTTAATCACTATTCTAAAGTATCTCTCCTAGTCACTCTCTACTTCATTATTCTGTTTTCTTTTCTCCTATTAGAATGTAAGCTAAAGGAGAGTTCAACTCTGTATCCCTAGCACTTGGTACAATGCCTATCACATATTAGGCTTTTAAATATTTGAGAATTGAATGACTGCCTGTTAGAAAGAGAAAATATGTATACTGAGGTATACTGAGTAAAAGAAATAAAAAGCAAATGTTTTATAATTTGATTTTAAAATTCCTTACTAATGTTTAATACCTGTTTTTTTGTTTTTTGCTGTTTTTTTTTTTTTTTTTTTTTTAAGTTAAGGCTAGGTCTCTGTTTGTCATTCCTCACCCCCTACCCCCACTACTGTGCATGTCACCATATGGAAAGTGATGGTTACATGTGATATAAATTAGCACACTTTGTTATATAATTAAACTTTGCATCCCCCAAAAATGGAATTACTTATTAAAATCTCTAAGTACAGATGCTGGTCACTACTCTACTTTAAAAGGTAATATGTAATTTAGAAATATGATAAAAATAAATCTAAATACTTGGAAACAAATAGTTTTACTGTTAACTTTAGTAGCTGTTCTTTGCTATCCTTAAGGGGTACGAAGAACTGGTAAGACTGTCGTTGTCAGTTAGCAGTGTGGTAGAGTAGATAGAACCTGCACATAGAAAAAATTAGTAATGCAAACAGTTATCTGATAAAATCTATGCCAGTTTTAACTATCACCTAAAGAGATTTAATATTTACTTTTTCTTGGGCCTTAGTAGAATGCCATCTTCTAACACATATAAAACCTATATTGGAAATTAAAATCCTATCTGAGTATCCTGCCATAATGTTTTGGAGATTTAGAACAACTTGGTTTTGATGGTCCTCAGTAGAAGCTTTTTGATTAAGTAGAGTTGTTCTTTAGGAAAGAACTAAACACTTGCAGTTTAGGTGTTAGGTTTAATTTTTAGGTTTTTGAGTGTGGATTTTCTCTGACATCTTGTTTTCTCTTGCCTTGTGGCAAATACAGAGAGAAATTGTATTGCAGAATGATGATACAAAAATGCTCTTCCTCCAAGTAATAGAGGCTAATCTAGCAGTTTTACTAATTGTGTTTTAGTTTTTCTTCCTCCCTCTGTTCTCACCTTCAAATCTGTGCCTAATTCCTTATATTAATAATCTGGGAGGCCGGGCGCGGTGGCTCACGCCTGTAATCCCAGCACTTTGGGAGGCTGAGGCGGGTGGAGGACCTGAGGTCAGGAGTTTGAGACCAGCTTGGCCAACATGTTGAAACCCCGTCTCTACTAAAAATACAAAAATTAGCTGGGTGTGGTGGCGGACGCCTGTAACTCCAGCTACTTGGGACGCTGAGGCAGGAGAATTGCTTGAACCTGGGAGGCAGAGGTTGCAGTGAGCCAAGATTGTGCCATTGCACTCCAGTCTGGGTGACAAAAGCGAAACTCCATCTCAGAAAAAAAAAAAAAAAATCTGTTATGTACCCCACCTCGTGCCATTATTCTGAAGCTCATGGGTTTGTATAGAAAAATGTGTAATGTTCTTTGACCAGTTTAATGATCAGAGCTTATTCTCTTTGAGCTTTTAACTATATTAGGATTGTTGAATTAGAGCAGGTTCATTAATTGCATATATTAATTTTTTTTAATGTTGTGTATCTACTCTGCTCCAGATTAAAAATACCTACACGGAGCTTACAGTTGAGTGAGAGAGATACACAATAAACACATAATCACACAACAAATATGTAAATAAAATAGTGGAAAATATGCTGTGAAGAAAACGTAGAAAATGCTATGAAAGTACAGTGGAGGCTGATTTAGATTACTGGGTTAAGAGAAGTAGAATTTTAGCTGAAGTTTGAACAATGAATAGGAATTGGATAGATGAAGAAGGTATGAGGGATTATTCACAGCAGATAACATATTGTAGGGAAGGCCTTAGAGTAAGGAAGAAAGATTGGGGAATAGGAGAAACTTTTAGGAAAGACCAGTGTGGTTAAAGCATAGTATGCTTTGGGGAGAGTGGCTATGCTGTGAGTTTTGGATTTTATCATAAGTGAGATAAAACCCTGTGGAAGGGGTGTGTAAGCAGGATTAGAATAGTGGATTTGTGTGTGTGCAGGGGAATAGATAAGGTGGGGCTTGGTGATTGAATAAATAAAGTGTGATAGTGTAAAAATTTAAAGGGTGGTGATATCTAGGTTTTGGGTAGCAGCAGTTGAATGGGTATAAAGGTACCTTTTTAAGGATGGGAAAAAGTAAAGGAGAAGGGAGGAATTTAGTTTGGAACTTAATAAATAGGCAAATGCATGCAGGCCCTTAGAATAGAGCATTAAAAAAATTAGCAACAGTCTTTTGAGAATAGTTTGTCTTCAAAATAGATGTGTTTATACTGCACCCAGAATTAGTAATATTGAAATATACTAGTCTATTTCAGTGCTTATCTGTTTAACATAAATATAATGGTGCGTGTAAGAGTCATGAATATTTTAGATTTAGTAGTTGATATACAGACTTGTAAACACACAGTTTATAAAAGTTTATAATCTGCCTTTTTTCAAAAGGAGCAGGAAGTAAAAATTAAGATATAACAAAATAACTCTGGGTTGACCTCTTACTGTACTGTTTGGGTTTTTTTTTTTTTTTTTTACACTTTATCATTAAACTTAGAATGTAAACATTTATATCTTCCTAGAAACAATGAGATTTAAAAACAAAAAAAGGTACCTAAAATCTCCTGAATATATGTTACTGAAACAGGAGGATATAATGAATAATTAAAGGAATGTGTGACATCCAAGTCAGGGAAAAACTAAGGGAAAACATGATGCCGCAATCATTTGTTAGAAAGGTGGCTGCCAAGTAGAAGACAAATTAAATTAAATTTAGTTGGCTGTAGTCTGGTTATTAATCAAACACTTTCATGTTGTTTATCATGTGCCAGACACTGTTTTAAGTAACATACATACATATATATATATATATATATATATATATATGTATTTTTTTTTTTGAGATGGAGTCTCGCTTTGTCGCCCACGCTGGAGTCCAGTGGCGTGATCTCGGCTCACTGCAAGCTCCGCCTCCTGGGTTCACACCATTCTCCTGCCTCAGCCTCCGGAGTAGCTGGGACTACAGGCATCTGCCATCACGCCCGGCTAATTGTTTTTGTATTTTTAGTAGAAACGGGGTTTCACTGTGTTAGCCAGGATGGTCTCGATCTCCTGACCTCGTGATCCGCCCGTCTCGGCCTCCCAAAGTGCTGAGATTACAGGCGCGAGCCACCGCGCCCGGCCGTAACTTATTAATGTTTACTCTCTGAACAATTCTTGACTAGGTACAAGTGTTATCCCACTTTTTGTAGATGAGGAAATGGAGGCATGGAAAGATTAAGGTCAAAAAGCTGTAAATGGAGTTGAACTCCAGAATCTATACTTTTAATCTTAATGCTATACTGTCTTGGTTATAAGAAGGGAATGTGGTTACCTGTAGGCAGATGTGGATAACTGAAGCTGTTAATTTATTTCACTGGTGTGAAGTTTTATTGTATCAATATACCAGATTCTATTATTGATGGGCATTTGAGCTGTTCCTATTTTTTGCTCTTATAAACATTGTTAGCATGAACTTTCTTCATATATCTTGTTGCACATATCCAAGAAACTTTCTCTGAGGCGGTGGTTCTCTTTATTACTGGTCCACTGGTGGAATTCTTGCCACTTACTAATGGTGCTCAGATATATTACTTGGAATTCTTGCTCTGGCCACAGAGCAACAGTTTTCATATCTTTCCAACATAATGCAGTTATGTCTTCTAACAGCACTCATGAATTCTTAGATTTTTTAAGTCACCTAAAAAATTATGTGAAGAAATGAGTTCTTTTCTGGAGAGAGACTGCAAGTTTTTCATAAAAGCATTTTGTAATCATAAAAACAATGAAATCACTTTTTTTAAAGTGAAAGATAAAAAAACAAGTAAATATTGCTATTCTATTAGAAAAAGCAAACAACTTTATTGTAAAGTCTATGGGAAAGTCAAATAAACTTTATACATGTATCGAATATTTTACAGCATTTTCAGTGTTTACAATGTTTTTAACATTAATATGGATGGTTTGA